>NC_000013.11:70680833-70832348 GCF_000001405.40 Homo sapiens
AACCAGAGTAAATAATTTTTAAAAACCAACAAATTAGTACCACAAAATGAACAATGTAAGAAAAGGAAATCTAATGGCCAGTAAATACGAGACAAGTCTCCTAGTATCAATGGTAATTAACAAATTAAAGTTGAAGTTTTATGAAATACTATTTTATATTCTTCAGTTTGGCAAATATTAAAAAGTATAAAAATATACAATGGTGTGAGAATGTGGAGCAATGTTAATCAGAAGGAAGGATTAAAAATATTATAAAGTATTGAGCAAGCTAAATACTATATTGCTGTCAAAATAAATGAATAAAAACCACATATATCAATATGGACCAATATGAAAAGCATAATAATTAGTGACAACAGAAACATATAGAACAAACATAAGGTTTTAAACATACACAACAATAGTAAATATGTAAATATTATTTATAAAATTATGCATGCATTAAAAAGGTATATGATACACAAGAAATGATATATGATACACAAGAAATATGATACACAAGAAATTTAATATGATACACAAGAAATAAATACCGCTTTGGTCTGAATGTTGATGTGCCTCCAAAATTCATATGTTGGAAACTAATATCAGATGTAACAGCATTAAGAGGTGTGGTCTTGAAGAAGTAATTAAGTCACGAGAGCTCTACCCTCAGGAATGGGATTAGTACTCTTACAAACGGGTCTGCAGGCAGCAGCAAGTCCTTTGCCTCTTCTACCATGTTAGGATACATAGAAGCCACCATCTGTAAGGATCTTGTCCTCACCAGACACCAAATGTGCTGGAGCCTTGATTTTGAACTTCCCAGTCTCTAGAAGAAATAATTTTCTGTTGTTTATAAAATTATCCAATTTAAGGTATTTTCTAATAGCAGCTGGAACAGAATAAGAGAAAATCCAACTCAAGGAAATGGTTCTATCTAGGGAGGGATAGATATGAATAAAATTTGACTTGGGGTAATTCAGGGTTCTTATTAAATTTATAATTTTTTTTAAACAAAGATTGGAAGCAAACAAAAAACTTAAGATTTGGCAATGCTAGGTATTTAATTTTTTCTGAAATATTTTCTTATAAAGAAAAATCTGGTTATCAGTTTGGAGGCAAGGATTTTAAATGACCACACTTGAAAGCATAGGGCATAAAACTGATTGAATCATTTCAGTGTGGCAAGATGTGGTAGACAGAGCAGACGAGACACGTTCTGCACATGGAGCTGATTCCATTCCTGTCTTGGAAAGTTAAAATTGCTTGGTTCTTGTTGCAATAGACTTGGTATGCAGAGCCACCCGAGGACAAGATCCTGACCTAATGGCTACCATCTAAAAATTGCAGTGCTAACCCAGAGTAAAGGTTCTGAGACTACTCACCTAGATTTTATAACCCAGTTTTCCTTCTCATAGTGCTCTATTTCTAGGCAAGTTACTTAGCTCTTTTATGTCCCAGCTCACTTAATTCTAAAATGGTCATAGTGATAAAAGCATCTTTCTTTGTTGGACAACCTCCTGGTCAACCTCCATCCACAACTTTACCCACCTTCTTTGTTTCTCCAGTTTTGTTCAAGAATTTACCCATTTCAAAAATCACTCAGAGAAAGGTGCCCCTCATCCTCATCTCCTGGTATGAATCCTGGTTATTCTAACTCAGTTAATGTCATTAGTGTATGTCCTGTCATTCATTCATGATTGAGCATGTGAAATAAACAGACCAAATAGCACCAAAGAAAAGCCTTGTATTATATGCTTGATTTTCTCCTTTTTCCTGTTAAATGGAATTTTAAAGGAGTCATTTTTGCCTTCAGTTTCCACTGGTGACCACTTGTACCCTGACATGAGCTAGACCGAAGCAAGACGAAGGGTTAACGAGGCAGAATAAAAGGATCAAGAAATATCATGAATTTTTGATGACAAGAGGGAGCCACAGACAGAACTGTACCTAAAGCCTGCCTTATCTCTAAAATTCCAATTATTGTGAGATATTACATTTCTTTAATATTTAAACCAATTTAACTTAGTGTTTTTGTTACTCGCAAAAGAACACAATAACTGATATATTATCTCATATATTGAACCGTAAAAATAAATGAGAAAAAATTTGTAATGCACCTAACACAGGGCTCAGGATATGGCTATTTTTAGCTACAACACCTTGGGCCTTATGCCTCCTCTGTCAACACATTCCTTCAGCATTTTAGGTAAGTAGCTTCTGCCAATTAGCTTAATCTTCATACAATTCTTGACTTATTCCTCAGTTCTAACTTTCATTATGTGTATTGTTTTATAAACATTTTCTTCATAGCCCATGAGTTCACATTTTATAAGGCAGTGGCTAAAGTAGTACTGGGTATTATGGTATTATTTACATTATGTATTGTAAAATATAGTATACATTTTTAGAAGAATGTACTTGCTTGTCTGAATCCTACAATACCCGACAATGATTCTTATTTGTACATCTGGCTTATTAAGCCTCTGACGAGGAAATGTTTCATTTATACACATTATCCTGCATAAGAAATAAAAGGTACAGCAAGTGAGTCATATATTGAAAGGTACAAAAGCTTGTGTATGCTATCATCAAATCTATCATACAAACTTTGAAACTTTGTAAGATTTGTTAGATCCTTGTGTAGTCACACACTAAAACTTACCCTCCAAAGCCATAGCTTAATGGGAGATTTTTCTCCCATTCTTAGTATTTTTTCCCTAACACAAAAATTATAAGGTAAACAAGACAATTAGAGCCTCAAAAATGTCTAATATCCAAGGAGAACAATCCACTTAGGAAGAAGGATGTTCTGAAACAAACAAAACCAAAAACCCACTTCACTTTAAATATGCATAAAGTAAATTTGGGAGAGTGAATGATAAAACATTCATTCTACAAGACTTTAATGCCAACTCCTAGAAAGAGTTACAAGACATCATTTTATAAAGAAGAAAATATATAGTATATGCATCTAAAATAAACCATTGAAAATACTATTTTAATGATAGCAAGCACAAAAACACTTAGCTTGTTCACTCAAACACGAATGTTTAATCCCCCTGAATTCTTTAAATCTCTGATCTCCTTTGGGAATGAAATAACTTCAGGGCTCAATTTGTACTGGTAGCTTAATGATTAAAGATGAAAAAGTCTTTGCCTATGCATCTGATTTTTATATGCCTTGTTTTACTGAAAATCCTATTAAAATAAACTCTGCTTTTAGTTGCTGTGAGTAATTGGATCCAGTACTTCACAGTTGAAAAATGTTGACTTCAAATTTTAATCTTTTACTGAGAGGATGTCACTACAAAACAAGAGGGTTGTAAGTACTCTATAAGGTACAATTGTTGAGATAAAACATAAAAAAATAGTGTACTAAGTTTGTAAGTTTTATGTATCTATGTGTTAGGGACAATTAAAACCATTTACAATAGTATTTTTTTGTTAATAATAGACCAGAAATAAGGAATAGAATGCTGTATGTTTTATAACCAAACAAGCAGGCTGATTTAAGAATAGGTTTGCAAGATTTGCATGTGAATGTTTGTGTGGGAGTGGGGAAGAGGAGGAATGTGGACATATCCTAAGAGGAAGAAAATCTTATACATGAGTTTGCTCACTACAGAATTTGACATTTATAATGATTTTTTTTCCCAGAATCTCTGTGAAGATGACAAAAACATTTTTTAAGGATGACTGAGCCTATGAGCTGTAAGGAGACGTATCTACAAGTTAGTATGCACCAAGCAATAGTTGATATACAGTCAGTTCAGAGTTCTTATTCCTTCTCAGTAAGAAACTAGAAACTGTCCTTTGTGTGGACAAGAAAATCCTTTAGGTTCTCTCTCATTTGGTATTTGTGTGTGTGTGTATATTCCTTTTTTAGTCCCATTTAGCCTTCTCTTTTCTGAAATAATCATTTCCTGCTGCCTCACTTTTATTACTTTATCTTTGTTTTTATTGTTTGCCCTTATTTTAGGTTGATTTTAATCACTGTATCTCTCATGATTTCTCTTTATTTTTAAGAATATGACAGCTTTTTTATTAAAATAGTACTTACATATAATTAAAGCCATACAGCAAAGTGCAAAAAATCACACCTCAGATCCCACCAAGCAGAAATAACCATTATAAAATTTATAAGAATGAAATTTTGGTTATGTTAATGCCTAATAGATTGATGAAGGCTAAATGAAAGATATCAACAGTTCTTAAAGTTCAGCCTGCAATGCCCTGGGTATCCATCCCTGAGATCCTAAGGAATGTAAAAAGTGAAAACTATTTTCATAATACAGAGAGAATATTTGCTTTTTTAACTGTATGGAAATTGCACTGATTATGCTAAAGTAAGAGTCAGCAAAACTGCTGCTTCCTTAGTACAAATTAAAGCAATATCAGCCAACAGTATTTGCAATCATTGTATTCTTCACCACAATGCACTAGCAGTTAAAAAAAAAGAGCCAGCTTCACTTAAGTATGTTCTTGAGACAATATTAAAAATCATCAGTTTTGTTAAATCCTTCTTGAATATATCTCACTGTAATAGTCTCAGAGAAAAAAAAAACAGGACATATGCATAAAGCACTTCTGAGGCATGATCTGGTTATCTTGAAAATAAGTTTTTGTGTACCTGCTTCAGTTGTTTGCTAAACTAGCCACATTTTTCATAGAATAATATTTTTATCCAAAGAATGACTAAAAGACAAACTACGGGTGTTCACTTGAGTATCTGAGAATTTGCCACGGAAGGAAAACAATAAAACAAACTATTTACTATCATTGACAAAATTGCAGCTTTCAAGTAACAATTAGAATTGTGGAAACATTGTATCTGTCCCTGTGAAACTGACAGCATTTCGTGCTTGAAGATCCCTCTGGAAAAAAATCAAAGGAAAAATAAATCTGGTTATTTTTATATTGTGTAGTATAATGTCAAGATTTTGTAAAACCCATGTAAATCTGTGAACCCAATATTTACCAAAATGACCAGTGAATGCATGGTATTACAAGATCATGCATGGCTAAACAGCTATTCAAAGTGCAAAATAGGCCAGTAGATTTTAATGTAAGAGTATGGAAAGTTCATTGATATAATTCCACATTACCACTAGACTTTAAGAAACTCCCTCTCATTGAGTTATAGTTTAGTATGAGACATATTTATTTTCTTCTCTTTTCCAACTGCAAATCTGTAGGAGGCTGGATTTTCTTCAGCTATTTCAGATGCAGATACAGATTGCAATAGATGGATGGCAGAAGCTGTTGTTATTAATTCAGACATTCCAGAGAATCATAAAAATGTAAATCAATGCCACCCTTCTAATTTAATATTTATGTTGGAAAATACAGTTTTTTTAAATAAAATATGATGGGTTGATCTATAATGGGTTTTAATTTTACATAGATAAGATAGAGTCAATATAATTCTAAAACTCTGTTTAAATTTCTAATATGATAAAAATCTATAGTTATAAACCATGTAAACAAAAGCTCTGGAGCACTTGATAATTTTTAAAAGTGGAAAGAGTTCCTGAAACCAATGTGTTTGAGAACTATTGAAATAAATAAATAGGCATGCAAAGATGTTTAAAAACATAAAAATGGGGAGGACTTCCTTCTTTGCAATTGTTTGGATTAGTTTCACAAGGAATGGTATCTGTTCCTTTTTGTACTTCTGGTAGAATTCATCTGTGAATCCATCTGGTTCTGGGCTTTTCTTTTGGTTGGTAGGCTATTAATTGCTGCCTGAATTTCAGAACTTGTTATTGGTCTATTCAGGGATTTGAGTTCTTCCTGGTTTAGTCTTGGGAGGGTATCTGTGTCTAGGAATTTATCCATTTCTTCTAGATTTTCTAGTTTATTTGTGTAGAGGTGTTCATAGTATTCTCTAATGGTAGTTTGTATTTCTGTGGGGTCAGTGGTGATATCCCCTTTATCATTTTTTATTGTGTCTATTTGATTCATCTCTGTTTTCTTCATAATTAGTCTAGCTAGTGGTTTATTTATTTTGTTATTTTTTCCAAAAAACCAGCTACTGGATTCACTGAGTATTTTGGAGGTTTTTTTTTTGTGTGTGTGTATGTGTCTATATCTCCTTCATTTCTGCTGTGATCTTAGTTATTTCTTGCCTCCTGCTAGCTTTTGGATTAGTCTGCTCTTGCCTCTCTAGCTCTTTAATTGTGATGTTAGGGTGTCAATTTGAGATCTTTCCAGCTTTCTGATTTGGGCATTTTAGTGCTATAAATTTCCCTCTAAACACGGCTTTAGCTGTGTCCCAGAGATTCTGGTATGTTGTCTCTTTGTTCTCATTGGTTTCAAAGAACTTCTTTATTTCTGCCTTAATTTCATTATTTACCCAGGAGTCATTCAGGAGTAGATTGTTCCATTTCCAAGTAATTGTGTGGTTTTGAGTTAGTTTCTTAATCGTGAGTTCTAATTTGATTGAACTGTGGTCTGAGAGACTGTTATGATTTCAGTTCTTTTGCATTTGCTAAAGAGTGTTTTGTTTCCAATTATGTGGTCGATTTGAGAATAAGTGCCACGGGACACTGAAAAGAATGTATATTCTGTTGATTTGGGGTGGAGAGTTCTGTAGATGTCTATTTGGTCCACTTGGCCCAGAGAATTGGTGATGCAGCCAGAAGCAGCTTCAAAGTCATGAAATTGTTGGGTCTCAGAGTACCCAAGACTGCTGAGAAGGCTTTCATTGTTGCCTTGTTTCTCTATCTATACAGTAGATTTTTTTTTGCCTCTATGATTTGCATTTTTCTGATGATTAGTGATGTTGAGCATTTTTTCATGTTTGTTGGCCATTTGTAAATCTTCTTTTGGGAAGTGTTTGTTCATGTTCTTTGCCCATTTCTTAATGGGGTTATTTGTTTTTTACTTGTTGATTTGTTTTACTTCCTTATAGAGTCTATAATTTCTAGATAACTGAAACAAGGCAAGGATGCCCACTCTCACGGCTCCTACTCAACGTAGTACTTGATGTCGTAGACAGGGCAGTGAGGCAAGAGAAAGAAAGAAAAGGCATCCAAAAAAAAAAAAAGAAAAAAGAAGAAGAAATCAAACTATCTCTCTTCACTGACATTATGATTCTACAAGTAAAAAACCCTAAAGACTCCCCAAAAAGGCTCCTAGAACTGATAAACAACTTCAATAAAGTCTCAGGATACAAAATCAATGTACAAAATTTAGTAGCATTTTAATATACCAACAATGTTCAAGCTGAGGGTTAAATCAAGAACACAGTTCTATTTAGAATAGTCATTAAACAAATAAAATTCCTAGTAATACAGCTAACCAAGGAGGCAAATATCTCCTCTGTTT
Organism: Homo sapiens; assembly: GCF_000001405.40. Taxonomy (NCBI): domain Eukaryota; kingdom Metazoa; phylum Chordata; class Mammalia; order Primates; family Hominidae; genus Homo; species Homo sapiens. The sequence continues at coordinate 70,688,148 of NC_000013.11, forward strand.
AATTTTCAAGGAATACTAAAGAACACTACTGAAAAAAATTAGACATGACACAAATAAATGGAAAAACATTCCATGCTTATGGATAGGAAGAATTAACATTTTATAAATGATCATACTATCCAAAGCAATTAACAGATTCAATGACATTTCTATAAAATTACCAATGTCATTTTTTCACACAATTAGAAAAAAATGATTTTAAAATTCATATGGAACCAAAAAAGAGTCCAAATAGCCAAAGCAATTATAAGCAAAAAGAAGAAAGCCAAAGGCATCACATTACCCGATTTGAAACTATATTATAAGGCTACAGTAACCAAAACAGCATGGTTCTGGTACAAAAACAGACACATAGACCAATGAAACAGAATAGAAAACCTAGAAATAAAGTCACACACTTCTGACCATCTGATCTTCAATTAAGTCAACAAAAATAAGCAATTGGGAAAGGAGTCCCCTATTCAATAAATGGTGCTGGAATAACTGGCTATCCATAAGCAGAAGAATAAAACTGAACCTCTACTTTTCACCATATATAAACATTAACTCAAAATGGACTAAATATTTAAATGTAAGACCTCAAAATATAAAAATCCTAGAAGAAAACCTATAAAATAATTTTCTCAATATCAACCTTGGCAAATAATTTTTGGCTAAATCTGCAAACATAATTGCAGCAAAACCAAAATTTAACAAGTAGGACCTAATTAAACTAAAGAACTTATGCACAGCAAAATAAACCATCAACAGAGTAAATGGACAACCTTAAAAATGGGAGGGAATATTCACAAACAAAATATATTTTTAGTGCTATTGAAAGTGGACTTATTTTCCTAATTCCCTTTGCAGATAGTTTGTTTTTAGTGTATAGAAATGTAATTGAGTTTATATGTTGATTTTGCATCTTGCAACTTTACTAAATTTATTAGTTCTAATGTTTTTTATGGCGTATTTAGGGATTTCTATGTATAATGTCATGCCACCTACAAATAGGGGCAATTTTACTTCTTTCTTTCCAATTTGGATGTCTTTTATTTCTTTTTCTTGCCTAATTGCTTTGGCTAAGACTTTCAGTACTATATTGAATAGATGTGGTGAGAGTGGACATCCTTGCCTACTTCCTGGTCTTAGTGAAAAGTCTTCTGTTTTTGCCACTGAGTATAATATTAACTGTGGGATTTTTATATATGGCCTTTACTACGTTGAAATACTTTCCTTCTATACCTAATTTGTTGAGTGTTTTTAGCATAAAATAGTGATGAATTTTGTCAAATGCTTTTTTTGGGCATCTATTGAGTGATTATGTGATTTCTATCCTTTATTCTGTTAATGAGACATCATATATTAATTAATTTTTGTATATTAAATAATCTTTGGGCCCAAGGGATGAATCCTGGTTGATCATGGTATATAATGCTTTTAATATGTTATTGAACTTGATTTGCTAGTGTTTTGTTGAAGATTTTTGTAACTATATTCCAAGGAATATTAGAATGCAGCTTTTTGTTCCTGTTGTGCCTTTGTCTGGCTTTATTATCAAGATAAGCTGGGCCTCCTAAAATGAGTTTGAAAATGTTCCCTCTTTAAGTTGGAAGAGTTTAAGAATGGTTGCCATTAATTCTTCTTTAAATATTCGGTAGAATTTAACAGTGAAGTCATCTGGTCCAGGGCTGTACTTTTTGGGGGAGTTTTGATTACTAATTCAATCTCCACAGTAGTTGTAGGTCCGTTCAGACTTTCTCCTTCTTTATGATTCAGTTTGGTTAAGTTGTATGTTTCTAAAAATGGTTCCACTTCTTTTAGTTTATCCAGCTTGTTGGCATATAATTATTCATAGTAGTATCTTATGATCTGTTTATTTCTATGGTATAAATTGTCAGGTCTTCTCTTTCATTTCTGATTTTATTTGTGTCTTTTTTCTTCTTTTTTAGTAGGTCTAGCTAAAGGTTTGTCAATTTTGTTTATCATTAAAAAAAAGTCTAGTTTTGGCCAGGTGTGGTGGCCCAAGCCTGTAATCCCAGCACTTTAGGAAGCGGAGGTTGGTGGGTCACGAGATCAGGAGATCGAGACCATTCTGGCTGACACGGTGAAACCCCGTCTCTACTAAAAAAATACAAAAAAATTAGCCGGGCGTGGTGGCGGGCGCCTGTAGTCCCAGCTACTCAGGAGGCTGAGGTGGGAGAATGGCGTGAACCCAGGAGGCGGAGCTTGCAGTGAGCCGAGATCGCGCCACTGCACTTCAGCCTGGGTGACAAAGCAAGACTCCATCTCAAAAAAAAAAAAAAAAAAAAAAAAAAAAAAGTCTAGTTTTGTTGATTTTTTTTACTATTGTTTTTCTGTAGTCTATTTGTTCTGTTCTAAACTTTATTTCCTTTTTTTTTCTGCTAACTTGGGGCTTAATTTGTTCTTTATTTCTACTTTCTTGAGATTTAATATTCGGTTGTCTATTTTAGGTCTTTCTTCTTTTTTAATGTAGTCATTTAACACTACACACTGCCCTGTTAGTACTGCTTTTGCTGTACCCCATAAATTTTGGTGTGGTGAATTTTCTTTCTATTTGTCTCAAGATATCTTTTAACTTGCCTTCGTTTTCTTTGCATTGATTCTGCAAGACTGTGTCGTTTAATTTTCACATATTTGTGAATTTTCCCCTCTTCCTTCTGCTACTGAGTTTTCACTTTATTTTATTTTGGTCAGAAAACACGCTTGATATAATTTCAATCTTTTTAAAATTTGCTTTGCCTTATTTTATAACTTAAGATGTGACCTATCCTGGAGAATTTTATGTGTGTGCTTGAAAAAAAAAATGTAGGTTGTTATGCTTTGGGGTGGAATGTTCTCTGTATATCTATCAGGTTCAATTTGTTTACATTATTTTTCAACTACTCTGTTTACTTGTTGATGTTCTGTCTGGACATCCCATTCTTTATCAAAAGTGGGGTATTATAATTCCCTATTATTATTGTATGGTCGTCTATTTTTCAGTTCAGTTCTGTCAATGCTTGCTTTATATAATTTGTGCTTTGTTGTTGGGTACACATATAATTTAAATTATTATATCTTCCTAATGAATTGGCCCTCATCATTATATGATGTCTTTGTCTTTTCTGATAGATTTTGATTTAAAGTCTATTATGTCTGATATAAGTATAGACATTCTTGCTCACTTTCCATTTTCATGAAGTATCTTTTTCTCTCTCTTCACATTCATCCTGTGTGTATACTTAAATCTAAACTGAGTTCTTGAGGAAAGTATATAGGTGTATCTTTTATTTTTACCCATTCATGCATTTTACGTCTTTAGATTGGGGAGTTTCATCCACTTATATTTAAAGTAATTATTGATACAGAAGGATTTACCATTGTTATTTTGTTCATTGTTTTCTGTTACTCTGTCCATCATTTTTTCTTGCTATCTTCCATGGTATTTTATTGATTTTTTATATTGCTATGCTTTGATTCATTTCTCCTTTTTGTGTGTAACTTCTATAGGTATTCTCTTCATGGGTACCATGAGGCTTACATAAAATAGCTTATATTTATAACAGTCAGTTTTAAGCTTACAACAACTTAAATTTAATCAAATAAAAAAACTCCACACTTTTGTTTCTCTCCCTCCACACTTTATATTATTACTCTCTCAATTTACATTTATTTATATTGTGTATCTATTAACATAATTTTAAGTTATAATTTTAAAATATTTTTGTCTTTTAAATTTTATGCTAGAATTAAAAGTGATTTATTCAGTGACATTATATTACTCTGTATTTGGCTATATATTTACCTTTACCATCTTCTTTTATCATTTTGCTTCCTATCCTTTTCCTGTTTAGTGTTCTTTCATCTCATGTTGAAGAATCCCTGTAACAAACGTTGTAAAGCAGTTCTAGTGATGATGACCTTCTTCAGTTTTTGTTTCTCTGGATAATACAATGTCTCTTTTATTTTTGAAAGATAATTTTGTTGGGTTTAGTATTTCTATTTGACAGGTGTGGTTTATTTTTCTAAGTAGTTTTAATTGGATAATTTTAAGTCTATCTCTCTCTTTTTAAGTAAGATCTTTGCTCCTTGTCTTTCTCTTTTTCTTAGACTCTCATAGTGCATGTATTGGTCAACTGTATGGTGTCACATAGATTAATGTCTTTCTCTTCTGACTGAATTATTTTCAATGACTCGTCTCCAATCTTGCTAACTCATTATTTTGCTTGATCTAGTCTGTTGAATCTGTGTTAAAAATTTTTTAATTCAGTTATTGTATTCTTAAGCTCTATGATTTCTCTTTGTTTTTTATAATTATTTTCCATCTCTGTTGAAATTTTCACATTGTCCATGCATTATTCTCTTGATCTCAGTGAGTATCTTTATGAAGGTTATTTCTAACACTTTCTCAGGTAAATCATTCCTCTCTATTTCATTAGGGTCAGTTTCTGGAATTTTATTTTATTCCTTTGTTTGGAGTACATTCTCTTGTTTCTTCACATTTCTTGAATTTCTATACTTGTGTCTGTGCATTAGACAAAACAGCTTCCTTTCCCAGTCTTTTAAGACTGGCCTCATATAGAAGAAGACTACAAATCAATCAGCTTACCCAGAGATTCTGGGATCTTTTCAAACCTTTGTACTGCTCCAAGCTTCTTTCTTGTTCTTTATAACCCCCAGATGTCATCCAGTTTTCCAGGTCATATCAGCGCACTGAAGTAAGACAAGTAAGATTGAAGCGAGTTCCTCAGGTGCCCTCCCCCAAAATATCGGATCATGTGATGTTTCATTTAATTATTTCTTTCCCCAAGGAGAACCTAGAAATTGGGTTTATTTTTAATCATGCACTCTGTGCGAATCTGGAGAGAGGCTATGGTGACTACCAGCCCAAACCTTAATCTGTGTTTCAGTAGCCCCCAGATGGGTAGATTGTGTCTGATTTTGTCAGTGCCCCAAGACAAGCAAGACAAAAACTAGTTCTGGGGGCAGCCTTCCAAAATGTGGCATCGAATTCATTGATCAACTATTTCCCTCTGAAGGAGAAGCTGGGAGCTGGGAACATTTTCTCTATTTGCTCTGTGCTGAGCTAAGGAGAAGAGCTATGATGACTTCTAGGCCAACTTTCTGTCTTTGTTTATCCCCCAAGTGGCTAGATTGTTCTAATCCTATCAGGGCTGCAAGCTTGGCAGTACAGAAGTCAGTTCTCTGGAAAACCCACAAAGAAAAGTTAGATGTTAAACACATAGACAAACTTTTTCCTAGCCCTGAGATAAGCATTGACCTGGGGGTCTCTTCTTGATTGTGTGGCCTCTGCTGAGGGTAAGGAGTACAGTGTGAATGTGTGACAGATCTGTCCACTGGCTTTGATGAATGTGATTTCACATTCACAATTGTAAGTATTCTCTTATGGAAATAAGATACAAGCCACACCAGTAGAATGAATCATATAAGATATTTAACAAAATATCAGAAAAGAAAGAAGAACCCCAGGATTCTAAGAAGGGCTCTTTTCCGGCTACAAAAAGTGGCTTAGGTACAAATTGAGCCTTTCAATTTGCACAATTTGTTTCTGGATTTTTCACAAAGGGAATTTGTCTGCAAATAATTATTGAATCAGTGTATCTGTAGTGAAATGGAAGGTTCCAGTGCTTCCTATTCTGTCATCTTGACAATGTCACTTTTCTTACTATATTTTCTTTCCATTCTTTTCTTCTTTCTCCCTTTTCCTCCTCTTCATCTTCCTTTTTAAATCTTCATCTTATTTTGCTAATTTTGCTTTATCTTTTTCTTTGCATTTTCCTATAGTTGTATTCTTGCATATTAAACTGAGAAGATACATTTAACAGACTCTATGATGTTGTCTTACATCCTTCTGAGACCAATTTCTCTACCTAAGCTACTTTTTTTTTTTTTAACAGACTTCATCAGAGCCTGTTTTGTAGGCCTGGGATTCTTCTTCTTTTGATATTATGTTAAACATCTGATATAATTCATTACACTTATATGGTAATATCTTATTTCCATAAGCACATATTTAAAATTATGAATTACTGTTTTTTAATCACTTTATTGTTATATTCTCTATCTTATGCATTCGATAGTGAATGTAAAACTAGGTTGGCCACATCGCCTATTTCATGAGTCCCTTCTCCTATCTGGTCCTTCCCTCCTCCCTCAAGATTACAGAAGAAAATAAAGATGAGAAACTCTAATTATGCACTTCTTTCTAAATTAGGGGCATTAATGAAATCTCTCAGGATGTTGACTCTCTACTCCCTGTTCTAGAGAATGGGGATTAGGCTTAAAGCTGAGCCTTGCCTTTAAAAACAAGTCTTCTATTTCTTTTGCTGTTTCCTTTGATGCTTCATCGTGTGGAATTGCAGCATTCCTTAATTGAAGGATGCTGGTGTTTTTTTCTCTCTCTTTACTAATATTTTTAATTTATTTTGTTAGATATTGGAGCAAGAAATAATTATAGCTCAATTTATTCTTCCAGCTTTTCCAGAAAGTTTCCTCTCAAACTACAAATTAATAATTAATCTTTTGAATCCTTGGCTTCAATTTGATTTAACATACAAATTCTGGCCAATTAAAAAAAAGAAACTCTAGAAATTACTTCGTAGACATTCTATAACTGTAATGTTCCTTTACTCTAGGGTATTATGGCATCATAGGTTGGTGTTTTATGTATAGTTTAGTATTATGAGAAATTGGAAGAAGACTGTTTTCCAAACTTCTTTGGAAAAAGACTACTCCTCTATCCAGCTCGGAATATAAACAAAAGGAAGATTTTTAAATTGTCCCAGCACCATGAGGCATATTTTATAATGTTAAGCTTTTTCCACACATTAATAACACAAGATGTAAGCAATTTACACAAAATTGTGTGAGAGTTTCACATATGCACATATGTGTACACACAATGACATGATCAATTAGATAATTCTCTCTATATATAATACTTGCTGTGGGCCTGTTATGCTTAAGTTTAGTTGCCAATAATAATAAAGTTCATGGCTGATTGTATATATTTACAGTTGATTTTTTTGGGTGTTGGCACAGTTTCAAGGTCTAAGAAAACGTTTGGATGGAAAAACGTGTTACTCTTCTAAAGTTGAATGTTAAAATCCTGTTCAATATTTAAAATGTAAACTGGCTTTTGAAATAAAGAAATTACTCTGAACAGATTTAATATGGTTCTTCTTAATGCAATAAGTGCATTATATATTTCATGAAATAAATGTAGAATAAGTTTAAAAATAAATATATGCAGCCCATTTACAATACTCTAGTGAAATACATGAGTGCTTCACTACATGTTTCACTGACAAAAAATAATCGCATAAATCTTCCACACACAGCTGCAATTTAGTGAAATATGCAGTTTTCTGTTTTCTATTACTGTATACAGTATAAATTCTTCTGCTGGGAGACAGATTGTGACAAATTTGCAAACAGCATCTGTATTCATACATTTGAAACATTAATTTATCCAGCAATAAAATCTTTGATTTCCCAAAAGGAGAGTCATGTCTGAGAACTAATGCCTATTTTTGAGACTTAACTGAGTTTTCAATGTTACTCATTTTCTCATGAGTTACGTGCTCCGATGGAAAAATATACAACTTAACAGCAAGTATAGAGAGTTAAAAGGGTCACACAAAACATAAATCTGTATGCCTACTTTATGTATGTGTATAATTCATATAAATAAATTCTTGACTACCTACACTTTCCATTGTGGAAAATGCTTTTGTTAGCAACAATATCAAAGGAATAACAAGGAAAGCTCTATAATATATACACTGAATTCAATGCTTATGTACTGCAATTTTTGAAATGATAAATTTTGCTCTGGGCATAAGAGTAAAACTTCTGGAAATAGAAAAATAAAGCTTATGTTTATCAACCAGTATATGGTTTATTTCTAGAAATAGTATAGAAGTCTAAAATAAACTATGTAAAATTAAAACAAAGTAGAATTATATAAGTGAAATCTAAGTACTTATGAAGTTTCTTATTTTAAAAAATTCTCTAGAAGTTTATTTATCATTGAAGAAGAGCCAATTTCTAACTCCCCTTTTTAAAAATAAATAATGCCATAGTATATAATATCTGCAACAAAGAAAGCATTTCAATTAGTCAATTTTGCTTACCTTATTTTGCTTTTAGCTTTTCTTTTTCCTAATATCAGTTATACATTTAGCTAATTCTTAACATCTTCTTGAAACTATTTGATTTATTATCATTCATTTTTTTACTCAGTACTTGCTATCCAAAGAAACACGACATTTGAACAGGTTATTTTAAAACAATTCTGAAATTACTTAATTATCATTATAATTTTCTCAGGAAATTATTAGATTCACCAAAACCTAAGGAGATAAAACCTCTAAAACTCCTCACAGTATCACACAAGGATTAACCTTACCCTGGATTTCCATTGTTCTACTGTGATCTTACAAACTTTGATAAAATCATATTTAAATACATGCAAAAAACGTTTTTAAAGGATATACTGTGAGTTTTTAAAATTCAAACAGCTTTCTCAGCTATTTGAATAGTGACGATCTGAAATCTGCATCCATGCTGCTTTTTTAATTAAAATTTTACCCAAAGGAAAACAGTATTTAACAGTTTGTGAGCTTACTCTCTTTAGAAATTGTGTAGTGAATTGTTTGCTCATAACATAAGGTGCTCTAGTGTCTTGGGCTTTTGCCTAACTGTCTGATCTTTTTTTTTTTCCACTGCTGTTACACTTTTGACCTAATTTAATTGACATAGGCAATGGTGTTCACATTGTTTTCTGACTGATTACCTGAACAGGTAGTGAAGAAAATTCAAGCCACAAACCTGTCTGGGACATTCATTTCAGTCACACTCAGTTGGCAGAGAGGGAGTATCACTCAGAAAGAGAACCCACAGAAACTTTATTTTGCAGGAAGGCAGTGACCCTGGAGAATTCTTCAACCTCCACGTTTATGAATTTCTCATTTTTAATTAATTTCTTCTTTCAAGTCAATACATTTTCATATATCATTGTCTCTGAACTGCTGTAGGGATAGAAAAATCTGAATTGCTTCACTGTTGACATATGTGTTAGGTGTGCCTGGCTCTCACCTTCTATACCTGAGGAGAATGTAATATTAACATCTTGTTTTAAGAACTTATCACTCATCTGTCTTCCATTGACTTCAGCTTACTCTAAAAATCAAGGAATCCTGAAAGTTTGTTTGCATTGGTTTGGTTTTAGGTTTATATATATGTATTTTTAGCCACAAAGAGAATTAGAAAATAAACCAAGCTTTATTGGGTCTTCTTAAAATTTTAATATCACCAATAGCCACCTCAATTAGGTGCATAATTTAGCTTTCTCAAACTTTCTTCAGTGTGGTGAAAACTCTTTCATAATTTTGTTTCATTATTATTTCAAGAAATATAAAATAAATAAAATGCATCAATTACAGAATGAATGTTTTTTGTTATTGATTGAAGGTGAAAATCCTTATGAATGCATTGCTTAGATTAGAACAGACCCATGCATGGATTGAATTAAGGGATTTTAGGGGCTCTGAGAAATGTGGAATTATTTCTAAAAACATGTCCCAGAATTGGGTGATTTCTTACACAGCCCTGAGAGCCGAGGAAGAGGTGACACTCTCTGGGGTCCATTCATTCAAAGACCCTGCTCTGGCCTTTCTCAAGCTATGCCACTCCTAATAGGAGGAGGAGTTTACAAGAGCCAAAGGGTTGCATCCACTTGGTTGCAGCACAATCCTCTCTGTACCACTCCAAGCACCCAAGCATGGAGAACTCCAGAATTCCTATCAAATGCCTCCAAGCCTATGTTCAGGGAAGGTACAGGCTGTTTCCACATGTCTTTACAGCCAAGGGCTGATTATGCTAGGACCCCTAAACCATGAGAAGGACCAAAGGGTCATTAATTGTAAGAAAGGGAATGATGGAGATCCAACTGAAGTCAGGGAGTCCCTGTGCATCCATAGGAGGTTACTTATGGCGGGGGAGTAGCCACAAGAAGATGTGGAGTCCCTGTGCATCTATAGGAGGCTACTTATGGTGGAGGAGTAGCCACAAGAAGAATAGCCACAAGAAGATGGGGAAGATGTGAAAGATGAATATAGGATTGTCAAAAACCTTCTTGATTTATAAATGTATAACTTGATTTATAACCTTAAAATTTTTAGTCACTTAGTCTATTGGCCTCCATTTATACTGTAGTTTGAGGAAATTTTAGGGAGGGCTGCCTGAAAGTTTATCGTCTTATTTGTTTGAACTCAATTGCTTTGACTGAATCAGGATAATGTAAGAAGAAAGAAATGAGTTGTCTCAACATAAGATGGACTCGCATACAAATGTTCCCCTTATATCTTATAAGTTCTCTATTATTGTTAAAAATAGCTAGCTTCTCTGGTCTTTCTGCATTTATTAGCTGGGGGTTTTGTGAAGAATAATGTGTGCATGCTTTTTGATGCATACATGGGATGTTTTCAGTGCTGAAAACAATAGCTATTCTTATTAGTAGTATTAGTATTAAATTAAAACAAGAGGAAGGTTATTTTCAAAACGATGCTTCACTACAAATGAAGAGTCTGAGAGCACGATTGTACAGAGGTAAATGAAGAAATGGCATTGTCTCTGCGTATAAATGAAAGAAGAGGAGCATGAGCAATCAGAAAAAGAAAAAAGAATGACATGTAATAATGCTGCCCCATAGACCAAAAAGAGTACCAGTTTACAATATGCGCGAATGCTGAATCTATTCAGCAGGCCTCTTAAGTCGTTTAAACACAATATACTTCCAAGCAATGCTGATGAAAAGGAATATATAAATTATGGCCAACAAAATTTACAGATGTGGAGTTATGTATTTTCATGAGAACATTCTTAAAATAATGACTTATCTGAGCCTATTGCAAGGGAGATAAGAATGTGTTATGATATTTTTTAAATGAAATCGGTGCTCTCATTTGATCACACTGTCTAAAACTCACCCGACATTTAATATAACTCTAGTTATTAAATTTTTCTGATAGTTTTCAGGAAATAGTTTCCAGTTTAATCAAGCCAAGTTATTCCAAAACCCTCCCTAAAAAATTACTTATAACTGAAAATTTAATTTTAAAGAGCTTTAATAAATAAAAACAAGCCCTATGTTCTCCAAATATTCATCATCAAGTAAAATAGAAGTTCATAATCATTCTCTTTCATAAAGATTAAAAGACTGTTTTTCAAATGACAATTTGGAATGTCACAATGACATGAATGGGCAGAAGAAAAATCCTTTCCATGTTTGGCACATATATGCAGTATTGACACATCAATGCCAAGTGTGCTATTTCAGAATTGCTGACTGAAACCTGAAAATTTGAAAGGCTTTTTCTTTACGGTGACTGCTGCTTCAGTTAACTTTAGCGCATTTGACCTTTTCTGTCTTTGGCATCTTTATTATTTTACCTCATCTTATTAAAGTCACTTCTTTTTTACCTTCTTCCCTGCAGTTTTGTACCTTAGAATGTTGACTTTGTTACAAGCATTTTTTTTCTACTGAGTTTTATAAGATTCGGGGATCTGGCAATCAAAGCACAATATGGTCAGCTGGCAAAAAAGGCCAGGCAACAACACTATTTGGAACAGGGTGTGGCTGACTTGACCGCTGTACTCGGAATCTCAGGTAACCTGCTTTTCACGTGTCAGCCATGTTGGGCGTCTGTTCCATTTGCCAGGAAAGTATAAAAATGCATCCTTGGTCAGAATCCTATTCTGTTTCTCTCTGCCTCTCCATGTCACTAGCATTATTTTTTCCTCAGTACAAAGTATTGTGAAAGAACTGTTATCATTACTTACAGAGTAAAAAATAAATAAATAAATAAATCCTCCATTGTTTTAAGGGGGGACTGGATTCAGCTTCCACTTTGTTTCAAGTTTATCTTTACAAAATGCTGCATTTACATCAGTATAATTTGCTGGTAACTTTTCAATATCAAATGTTCACTTGAAAATCAATTTTGAAACTATTTACCAATTTTCTGTGATAAAATAATCACCAGTATCATATCCGGATGACACATTTTCACTAGTTTTTAATTTTTTGCCTTGAAAACACAATATATAATGTTACTGGTTTCATTATGTGCTTAAGTGCCTTAAAATTACAATATTGTATTTAAGTCATCTTTATGTTAGAAGGAAAATTTAAAGAATATTATTCAAAAATAGATTGCGCCCTCCTTTATTGCTAGGAGGAATAAAAAATGTTGCAATTTAAAAAACATTTTGTAGTTCCTTAAAATGGTAAACACAAAGTTTTCATATGACCTAGCAATTCCACTTACTGGTATACATCAAAGACAAATAAAATCACATGTCCACAAAAAGCTTTTACACAAATGTTCATAGCAGCATTGTCAATACTAACTAAAAAATAAAAACAACCTATATATCCAGCAAGTGAGGTATGGACAAACAAAATGTGGTATGCTACTGCAATGGAATATTATTCAGCCATAAACAGGAAAAAATATGGATTTATAATACAATGTGGGTAGATGTAAAAATATTTGGGCTGAGTGAAAATAATCCAGTAAAAAAAGACACATATTGTGTTATTCAGTTAATATGAAAAATCCAGATTAGGCAAATTAATATACAGAAAGTATATCAGTGATTGCCAGAAGCTGGGGTAGGGAGAAAAAATGGGGGGGTGATTACTGATGGTTATGGGGTTTTGTTGCGGGCTGATGAGATAGTCTAAAATTAGACAGTGGTGATTATTGTACAGCTCTGTGAACAAAAGTCACTGAACTGAATGATTAAAGTAGTAAATTGCATGTGAATGAAGCCGCTAAAAAAAAGTGGCTCTCAGATATCAGCCTGCTTTGGAGACCACCTTAGACGAAGAAATATTTCTTGTCTAAAGTCATATCTCCTTTCACAGGGCAATGGCATCCAATGATTGAGCATAATAGGTGTATAAAATATTACCCTCTTTCTCCCAACTTAGGACAGCTCTGATGGTTCAAGCACCCTATATGTTTGGCTGGGTTTATCATTTGGAATGCATAAGCTCAACTTCTTTCCCTGAAAATTCCTACTCCTTTCCTTGCCTTTCTGCAAGTATTGATTCCAAGGGCATTCCCTAACAAATGTCCTGTGCTCCAGTCTCATTCTTGGAGTCTGCTCCTAGTGGAAACCAATCTATAACAGAGAAGTTAAGCAATATGTACAAAGTTATAACCCCATGACTTTGAGTATGCTTTTCTTTCTAGAGATATTTCTTGACTTTTATTCTTCTCACACTTAATTCTACTCACCCATCATAAACCCAGTTCAAGTTCTACCTCTTTCTTAGTTTCTTCAACTACTCTAGTTCACCCTGAGCTTTACCTTTTTAGACAATTAATGCGCATAGTGTCAAGACCTCCAGCTCACTGAACAATGACCTCATAAGTTTAAAACTGCTTCAAAAACAGCAAATGTATTAACATCAGGTATAACAGCATTGATACAGTCTCCCTGGAATGCGGGGAACCGTGCTTTTCAACTTCCTTTCCCTTGCACTCCTGCCCTCTCCCACCAAAATAGTCTGGTGCAAATTAAATAAAACTATAGTTTAGTTAGATTTTCTCCCACTGCTTCATTTGACTAGCCTTAAAAATAAATAAATACAATTTTATTGAAATTATAGAATCTTTATCTTACTGACTACAGGTAATTTTTTAATCATGACATCAGTGGTAAACATCCTAAAACAAAGTTTAGGAAATGATCATTTGAGAAAACTACATTGATGATATCTTCATACACACACACACACACACACACACACACACACACACACCATGAAGTTATCTAGAATTTGGGCAATTAATGAACCATATAATAGAAACAGTGGTGGATTGTATATAGTCATTTCCTCTGTAGTCAGCATGACATGTTCTGTAATTCTAGAGAGTAAATATAGTTGCAACAGTTTATTTTTCTAGTGATAATGAACAAATGTATTACTTCTATTGCTTTTTTGTGCCACACATTATTACAATAGAAAGAAAGAAAGAGAGAGAAAGAAGAAAGAAAGAGAACGAAAAGAAAGAAAGAAGAAAGGAGAGAAAGAAGAAAAAGAAAGAAAGGAAGAAAAGAGAAAGGAAAAGAGAAAGGAAGGAAGGAAGGAAGGAAGGAAGGGAAGGAAGGGAAGGAAAAGAAAATAAAGATGGTTCTTAACTGACCACTCAGTGATATTGTCTGATCTGTGATGACATCATATACCTAGCTCCTGGATGAACCACTGTTTGACTTTGAAGATGGACCATGAGCTTTCTCAAACCCAAGCTCAATCTAGGAAAATCTGTACTTGTGCTTCTTTTCAATGAATACTCTAGGGATGTCCATTACTCCACAGAGCTCAGCCTAGGGACCAAGTTCTGGGAGAATTGTCAGTATTGGATAGACCCTGTATGTGTCCAGATCCATGTCCACGGACACTTCGTCCTTTTACTATAAGAAGAATTAATTTTATAGGATCAGGGTTTTCTTTTGTCCTTGCAGTCGATCATTGGTAAGAAACACTGCGGTCCAAAACAGCCATAGAATGACAAAGTCACAAGGCACTGATATCTCTGATTCATGTGCCCTCCAGGTAGCTGCTTTGCAAACCAGGGATTTCAAAGATTAGTAGTCTTAAACACAGAAGGCTTGATGACTCCCTAATTCTAAAGCAATGGCTGTTATTAATCCTATATTTATTTAAGAACTTCATATAAATAATTGTTCCAGATACTTAAATTCATTTTCCTTAGATTGCAAACAAATAAATCTTTGCTTTGATCGTCTATTTCTTTCCATGTCACTGATTGTCATACTTACCCTGCTTTTACGGAGGAGAAAACTGAGAATTGAGAAAATTAAGTAATTTACTCAACATCATCCAATTAAGACCGAACATAGGACTACCTCACTCCAAAATATTAAATCTTTATACTACTAGGTACATAAAATACCTTGAAAGTCAAGAGATAGTAACACGCATTTCAAATACTTTGATATATGGAGTAGGCTGTCAGTATTAGTCTACCTGAAGTTTGAATCCTCCTTTTATGATTCTCCAATAAGAAGAGTTTACTTTTTTAATGAGTTTAAAAATTCCATTGAATAAGAGCGTAATTCATGTTTATTGAAAAGAGATGGAAAGTTTTGGCTTCCCTGCTGACAAATTGCTTTCTGAAAGATAGCTCTCTCCTCTGTGCTTGCAAGACAAACTACATGTGAAGAAAAGAAGATACTTTGTAGCTAGCATTTTATTTCCTCTTGGAAGCTCTTGGAATTCTGTCATGAGGCTGTCATCATATGGCATTTATTTTATCTTGATATCAAGATACATATTTAGATAAAGAAAACTGGAAAAATATTTGCTGAATAACACTTTCTTTGAACTTAAGGGTAAAATGAAGTTTTTTTAAACTACTACATACATAGTAATGAGACAATAAAATTGCATCGAATAAATAGATGAACAAGAGAATTAAAGATTGGAGTATGGTTGTAACCATCTTAAGTGCCGCCAAAAGAAACACCATTCCCACCTTAACATATGGTTAAGGAGATAAAGGAAGGAAGGAGGATGAAGGGTTGCTCTTCCAGTTTTTATTCTAGCTGCATACCCATTCTGAGCATTGGCACACGTGGTCAGGGAGGGGGTACGGGTTGGTGTAATGGATGGTGTGACAGAAATTTGGCATCTTAGTGGCCACCACATCGTGCTGCTCTGACTCCTTCTTCAGGACTGAGTTAGTCATTCCCCAGCTGCCAGGAGTGTTGGCTGCTGAGACCTGACAGCGGATCCACTTTCCAGGAATTTCCCTTGGGTAAAGGAACTGATTCACCCCAAACTATACTCCCTTCCTGGGGGCAGCCTGCCTTCTTCCACTGTTGTTACAATATTCCACAGTCATTTCCCTGACCTATTATAAACCTTTCTCTTTCACTCCAGATGATTGATAGATAGATGGTAGATAGACAGACAGAGAGATAGATAGATAGATAGATAGATAGATAGATAGATAGATAGATATAATAAACTATTGACAAATGCAAATTTCTTAAAAAATAAATTATATTGTGTATATTTGAGGTTCATAACATGAGGTTATGGAATACATATAGACAGCAAAATGGTTACCATAGTAAAGCAGATTAACATATCATCTCACATAGTTACTTCTTCTGTGACAAAGCAGCTAAAATCTAATTTAACAGAAATCTCTAATACAATACAACTTCAATAACTTTAGTCCTCATGTAAATTAGATCTCTAAACTTGTTCATTTTACGTGTCTGCTATTTTGTGTCCTGTGACTTACATCTCCTTATTTCCTTTTCTTCCACCTCCACCCATGGTAACCACTGTTTCATTCTGTAGCTCTGTGTATTTGAATTCATATATATATATATATATTCCACATATAACTGAGATCATGCAATATTTTTCTTTCTGTGTGTGACTTATTTTACTTAACTTAATGTGCTACAGGTACACTCATGTTGTGGCAAATGGGAGGATCTCCTTTTTTAGAGGAGGAATAATATTTCATTGTGGAGGTATACCACGCATTATTTATCCATTCACCTACCAATAGGTATTTAGTTTTCTTCTATATCTTGATGGTTGTGAATAGTGACGAAATAAACATGGAAGTGTAGGTATTTTTATAAGGTGGTGATTTCATCTCCTTTGGGTATATATCCAGAAAAAGGATTTCTGAGTCATATGGAATTTTTATTTTAAATTTTCTTCACAAAACTCAATATATTTTTTCACAATGACTGTACCAATTACATTCCCACCGAAAATATCCAAGGGTCCGTTGTCTCCATAGCTTCCCCAATATTTGTTATTTTTTTTTTAATTTTTAAAGCCATCCTTACTGGTCTTAGGTGATTTAGCGGTTTTAATTTGCATTTCCCTGATAATTAGTGATGTTAAACACCTTTTTCTATACCTGTTACCCATTTTTATGTCTTCTTTAGAGAAATGTCTGTTTAGATTCTTTGCCCATTTTTAATCAGGTTATTTGTTTTTCTGCTATTGAATTATAAGAGTTCTTTGTACATTTTAGATATTAACCACTTATCAGGTAGCTGGTTTGCAAATATTTTTATATTATTTCCTAGTCCATAGGTTACCTTTTCATTTTGTTGATTGTATATTTTTCCCTGCAGAAAGCTTTTATTTTGATATAGATATATTTGTTTATTTTAGCAAATTGAAAATTTGGGTGAAGAGATATTTAAATATATTCTAATTTATGAATATATTTTGATTGACTCTTAAATCAACATTGTTTTCCATTCACTAACAGTACCTGATGTGCCTATCTTTTCCATTTTTCTTTATTTTTCTTTTTCTCTCAGCTTTAGAAGATTGAGTTAATCATAGCCTTCAGCTATCAAAAGCAAATGTCATCAAGTATTACATGAGTTAGCAAATGGTCAGGGAAAGAGAAACCAATCTGGATATTTCTTACAAGAGATATGATACAGAGACTTGATTCCAAAGGTGTTGGAAGGACATCAAAAGCTTAAAGAAGAAGGGAACTAATAGAAGCAACAGAAGCTGCAAATAACCCTGTAATAAGCCCAGAAGCCTATGCTGCTCTTGTGCTGTTGGAAATGCATGTTGGTTTTGATCATCATGTCCATTCTTCTCTCCCAAAAAAACAACCACTACAATGTGGCTGATCTACATTCTTGAGTATATGGGTACCCTTTTAAAATATGCAGGGTTGAGTTGTTAATTTGCATATATTAAAATTGCATTTTAGGTATGTTCTTTCTTCATATTTTTCAGCATTCATTTTTATAACTTCACTACTTGTTTGATGTACATCTAATTCATTTCTAACTAATTCATAGGTTTCCATGTTGTATAACTGTATATTTTATTTATCTACCTCTTTAGTCATGTATAACTAGGTCACTTCCAATGTCCTGCTGGCTCAAAAAATACTATGATAAATATTTTCATATATACTTCCACTGGGATGAGTATCAAGCCAAGGGATCCCTGAACATAACTTACTTAGCGAAGAACTTCCAGAGTACATTCCAAAGTGACTATACCAGTTTATGTCCCTTAATAGTACATGAAGAGGGTTACTAGTATCCGCATATCATCAAACTATGGTATTATCCAACTTTTGAATTTTTCTAATCTCTTACATAGAATTTTTCATAATAACTTTAATTTGTATTATTCTAGTGAACCTGTATATCTCTTCTTACATGTGTTAATCTTTTGAATTTACTCTTAAAAGATGTATTCACATGCATGCCCACATTTCTAGAGAGTTTTATGCCTTTCCGTTTTGTTGATTTTCAGAAATATCTTATAATTTTATTTTTTAGTTCATGCATTGATTCATTTTTTAAATAAATTTTTATTGAGCACTTACTATGTTGTAGGCATTGTTTTATGTACTGAGAATATATTGGGAAACAAGAGACAAATTATGTTAATATGAAACTTACATTCTATTTTGTGGGTCAGGAGGTTGGGTGGATAAATGGTGGGGCTAGGAAACAATAAACATGTGAGTTATAAAGGTGATAATGAAATAGTGTGTTAGAAGGTGATAAGTAAACAGGTGCTAAGAAAAAGAGGAATAGTAGAACAAGATAAGGAAATTAGAAGAAGATGGGTTACATGAATAAATGGGGTGATTAGGATGAGACTCTGTGAGGAGATGACTTTTAAATAAGACTCGGAGACACCAGGGATATTACCCATGAAGATATCGGGAGGAAGATATTCCAGGAAGAAGTAAGCCAAACTTAAGGTGGGAACACAATGTAGGTGTTTAAGGAAGAGGAAGACTAGAGGAAAGTTAATGGTAGTAGGAGATCTAGTCAAAGAAGAAATATGGCTTTTACTCTGAGTGATATTGGACACAAGTGACAATTGTCATGCAGAGGAATGACATGCCCTGGCTTATAATTTTAAAAATATATTCCAGCTACTGTGTTGAAAACAGACAGTAGATGGACAAATGTGGATGCAGGGAGGCTGGTCAAGAAACTATGGCAGCAGCATCAGGTGAGATGATAATGGCTTGAAGTTGATTTTGGCAGTGGAGCTGGTGAGAAGTGGTGGGGTTCTGGGCCTATTTTGAAGGTAGAGCCAAAGGATGTTAATTCCTTGTGGGTTGTATATAACATCTATCAATCTGTTTCCTGACTCCTATGCTTATTCACAGTGTCCTTTTTTCAACAAATTTATTTAACTTCGATCTAATCAAATCCATCTCATTTTCACGTTATAGATGGTGCTGTTCATGTCAAGTTTAGAAGTTCCTTCTGGCACTGGTGTATAGTCTGTTCTCACGTTACTAATAAAGATATACCCAAGATTGGGTAATTTATAAAGGAAAGAGGTTTAATTGACTCACAGTTCCACATGGCTGGGGAGGCCTCACAATCATGGCAGAAGGCAAAGGAGGAGCAAAGTCACATCGTACATGACGGCAGGCAAGAGAGTGTGTGCAGGGGAACTCTCCTTTATTAAACCATCAGATCTCATGAGACGTACTCACTGTTATGAGAACAGCGTGGAAAAGACCTGCTCCCATAATTCAATTACCTCCCACCAGGTTTTTCCCACGAAACATGGGAATTATTGGAGCTACAGTTCAAGATGAGATTTGGGTGGGGACACAGCCAAACGATATCAACTAGTCTCTTATATTTCTTGGTATTAGATTTAGAGTTTGACATTTTATATTTTCGTCTTTAGTCTTTTTAACCATTTATCTTTGTAAAAAGTAAGGTAGAGGATGCAAGAGCATAAGAATGACATAACGGACTTTGGAGGCTTGGGGGAAAGATTGGGAGTGGGGTGAGGGATAAAAGACCACATAATGTGTACAGTGTACACTGCTTGGGTGACAGGTGCACTAAAATTTCAGAAAACACCACTAAAGAACTTATCCATGTAACCAAAAACCACCTGTACCCCCAAACTATTGAAATAAAAATAAAAATTAAAAAACAATTTAATGTAGAAATCCAGTGTTTCATTTTTCTCTTCAGATAGTAAATGTGTTTTCCCAACAACTTCTATAAAGCAGTTCTCATTTCCCCATTGATTTGTGGTTTCACATATATCATATATTATGCCCCCATATTGAATCATAGCAATCTATGACTAGCCTTTGTTTTACATAATACCTTATAATTGTAAATAGTTGTTACATACTAACTACAAATGTACAGTTTTTACACAAAAACGTTTAAAGACTATACAATTGATTTAAATCTCTGGCACCACTAGGACAAAAATATCCCCGTATATGTTTTCCATAGAGCTCAAAATGTTTGAGTTATCCATGTCTTTTAAATGCTCTGATAACTAAAGTGAGCCAGAAGTCTGTACCTTGGAACACATAGTTAAAAGAATGTGCTCCATTCAATTCTTACAAGTTAGGTTAATAATGTTTTTTTCTTAAGAAAGATAACTTATGAGATACATGATTTTTAAAAATAATAGTTTCGCTAATTTTAGATTGTTAGTCACCAGATAAACCCAAGTTTAATTTTGGCTTCACCTCTTACTACCTGGGTAAATTTCTGAAATCTTATGACCCTCAGTTTCCTTCACTGTAAAAAGGAAACAAAATAGCTGTTGCTTCATGTTGTAAGGAAAATGAAGACAATAATGAGTGGAAATAGTAACTGACTAATCAGTCAAAATAAGAAACAGTGAATCAGTGGTAACTCAGCCCTAGGAAGAAGTGGTCTTTTTTCTCTTTCCTCTATTAGTTATTATTCACTTCAGAGTTCCACTGTGAAACAATTCTCAGTAGTAAACTGGTCTGTAAATGACAAAGGCAGATGTCTTGATAACAGCACTTTCTCTTTAGGAACAGCACAAACTTCCTGCCAAGCTTTGGGGAAGAAGATATTATTTGACTGACTTCATAACTGTTTTTGGCAGTGTTACAGGATTAAATTTTCCTATGGAAAATTGCCTAAGTCTTTAGTCTGAGGTGCTTGGTAAAATATGGTGATCAGCACCACTAATTTATAAAAATGTGTTCCCACATATTCCTATTACAGTGTTTTATTTTTGTTTTTGTTTAAAGGAAATTCCTTAGGTACTGCAGAAAGGTGGGTAAAATCATTCATTATCTTTGGTTCTTGTTTCTACAACCCTGTATTTTTTTGTTCAGTAGATGATCCATAAATGTTCATTTACGAAATTTCTATGTACCCTAAGCTGTGATTATTAGAACACTCCTCCAAATACAATTTTAAATAGTTTTATTGTCAATATTGTTTAATGTAATAGTAAACACATTCTAATTTTTTTCATACACAGCTTTATGGTATTTCTACTATATATTTCTGGGGGTCCGTTTAATGCTAACTTTGAACAGATATTTGGAGTATAGGTTGACGACTTAACAGCTCCTGACATAGCATGACCTTCATAAAATTAAAGCATGGATTGTCTAATATGGTATAAGTGGCCTTTTATTTAAATCTGAGTTGGAGGTACAGAGTCAATAATCACTGAGTATGAACCAAGTGTAATAACCCAAAGATGATGAGACAGTGTTTGCCCTTTATCAGAATAAGGTTAAAACGGCTGTCAAGGTGACAGACGCTAATCAGTGAAACCTGAACAATTATGCCCAATAATCATTAAATGAAGACAGGGAACTAGACTCCTGGGAAAGCACAAGCATTTGGCAAAACACGATGTGCTTTTATTAAAAGAACCAGAGAGTTTGAAGTTGAAGGTGGTATCAAACTCAAAATGCAGTCAAATTTCTCAGTACTGCCCCTTAAAATAATAAAAGGGCTCACGTAAATATGATATGTCCACAAAACCTGCTACAGTAAAAAAAAGTATGTACGTTAGGAAAGTTAATAATTTCATAGTCCTCTGGAGAGGCATGAATGCTTATTATCTTCTAAAATCCTTTATAAGAGATAATTTTATAGTATATAATTTTTCATATGTTGATCTTCATAACATAGGCTCTACCTAGAGAAAATTCATAATTGTTCTTTATCTATTTGAGGTACAGTATAAGATGAAAAGTGAAGTACCATATCAGGATAAATTTTACTCTAAGTGACTCTTATAACTGTCTAATAGGATTTCAAAAATTCTTCTACATAGTCTCATTAACAAAGACGTAGTCTAAAAATCATATCATCTGACTACAATATTTTTAAGTAACTGAATAAATATGCAACATTTTTTAATATGAAATATTTTTCTTTGTACAAAATTAGGTTGAAAACAAAATTATTTTTCAAGTTATTAGGCTAAATTACCTTCTGAAATCTATGATATTGAAGTAGAAGGTGATTTTCCTTCAACTCCCATTGGCAAATTTTACTTTTTAATATGTCTGGCATTATATTATTTTACATCACAGATAAACTGAACGTTGAACTTTTGGAAAAAAATGTTGAGGAAATAAGAGTAATAACTCTGCTATTATACACGGCATCCTTTCCTCTGCCTCACATGATTAGAAAAACATTAGTATTTCAATCCGTGTCCATTGTTGTAGTCATGCTAGAAATTAAGATAGAAGTAAAGGATGAGTATATAAATATAAATACAATTAACTGAAGTTTTAGACAGAAATCAAAGCCTTCAACATAAGTTAGTATGATCATTTTTCTAGAGAACTATACTAGTGAAATCTGTAGCAAAGTAGAACTAATCTTTTATAACTTTTCTGCCTCATGCATTATTTCCCATTATATAAAGAAAATTCTTATATATAACAACTCAGCATTAAGTACTTCTGCTTGATTAAACAAAAATGTATATTTAGTAAATGATTGTGCCTTTGGAAAATTGAGATTTTATAATTTTATAGTTGTAGTGGTACATCTGATTGCATTTTACAGCGTATCATATTGTCTTTCATTCTCTATTACCATCATAGCCACCTGAGATGAAATCACCATCATCTCTCTGTTTCCTAATGGGCCTCCTAAAATTTATGTTTTCTCCATGAGAGTAATTGCTCTGGCCGGGCGCGGTGGCTCACGCCTGTAATCCCAGCACTTTGGGAGGCCGAGGTGGGCGGATCACGAGGTCAGGAGATGGAGACCATCCTGGCTAACACGGTGAAACCCCTTCTCTACTAAAAACACAAAAAATTAGCCAGGCGTGGTGGTGGGCGCCTGTAATCCCAGCTACTCGGGAGGCTGGGGCAGGAGAATGGCGTGAACCTGGGAGACAGAGCTTGCAGTGAGCTGAGACTGAGCCACTGCACTCCAGCCTAGGCAACAGAGCGAGACTCTGTCTCAAAAAAAAAAAAAAAGTAAATTTCTTAAACATATTTTCTTTGCATTTAGTTAATAATCTGAACATTCATTGATACATAAGAGTATCAATGTGTAAAAGTCTTTTTTTTTTGGAGATGAAGTCTCACTCTGTTTTCCAGTCTGGAGTGAAGTGGCACAATTTCGACTCACTGCAACCTCTGCCTCTCAAGTTCAAGTGATTCTCCTGCCCCAGCCTCGCAAGTAGCTGGGATTACAAATGCCTGCCACCATGCCTGGCTAATTTTTGTATTTTTAGTACAGATGGGGTTTCACCATGTTGGCCAGGCTGGTCTCCAACTCCTGGTCTCAGATGATCCTCCTGCCTTGACCTCTCAAAGTGCTCGGATTACAGGCATGAGCCACAGTGCCCCACCACATATAAAAGTCTTTGTCTCACTAGTTTCAAGCCCCAAGTTCTTTCCATATACTTTTCCTGTCTATAAAGAGATTTTTCTATTTTTCCTCTCATATACCATTGTCACCCTCCTACCCAGGTTTTTCATATGATGAAATATCATTTCTTGAGCGAAGTCATTACCCCCAAGCTTAGACTGGGTACCTTTATTTTATGGCCTCCCTGCACATTACACAGTTCCTTCATTGAACGTAGCACAACTTAAATTAAATAATGATTAGTATAATTATTGTTGGATATTTTATTAGCAGACCATAAGGTTAACAAGCGCAGCTCTTCGTTCTGTCCATTACTGCATACCTGCTGTCTAGCATATAGAAGTTCCCCAAAGATTATTACATGAATTTGCAATTCCTTTCCTCTCAGACATGCTAAAAGTAATCTGTTGCTGCCTAACAAGTTGCATACATAAACATAGTGGTTTAAGACAACAAATATTTATTATCTCATGATTTCTGTGGGTCAGGAATTCAGACACAACACTGACCTCTGGCACAGAGTCCCTCACAAGGCTATGATCACAGTATTTAACAGGATTGCAGTCATCTTCCATCTTAACAGTAAGAAGGTCTATTCCATGAGTTAATTTACATGATTATTAGTATACAGGTTGTCCTGGGCTGAAGTCCCCAGCTCCTTGCTGGCTGTTGGCTGGAAGCTGACGTTCCATCTTTGGCACATGCGCTCCTTCCTCTGTAAGACACCTCTCACTGCTGCTATTTGCTTTACTAGTACAAGCAAGCGAGAAGAGCCTAACTGCCTAGAGCAGTCAACAAGTCAGTCTTTTATGACCCTGTCTAGACGTTACATCCCACCACTTTCACATTCTTTTTTTGGGTAGAAGCAAGTACCTAGGATGAACTCACACTCAAGAGGAGAAAATTATACAATGACGTGAATTCCAGGAGGGAAACATGTTTTTACCCTGGGTCATTTTGGCTTATGAGAATTATCTCCTGAACACACTTTACTCTCCAGTCAGCATTTCTTTTAAAATCTTTTAAAATTCTTTCTTTTCTTTCTTTTTTTTTTTTTGGAGGTGGAATGTATCTCTCTCACCCAGGCTGTGTTGCAGTGGAGTGATCTGGGCTTACTGCAATCTGCAATATCCACCTCCCAGGTTCAAGCGATTCTCCTACCTCAACCTCCTGAGTAGTTGGGATTACAGGCACCCACCACCATGCACCCCCAGCTATTTTGTATTTTTAGTAGAGCCAGAGTTTCACCATGTTGGCCAGGCTGGTCTCTACCTCCTGACCTCAGGTGATCTGCCCCCCTCAGACTCCCAAAGTGCTGGGATTACAGGCATAAGCCACTGCACCCAGCCTCTTTTAAAGTTCTTATTGCTCACTTCATACCAAAATTACTACATACCTATAATCTGTCATACTAATATCTAAACTTCCTCAAAGTAGTACTTGATTGTCACAGAAACTAGCCCAGTTCCTTAAACATAGAAGGAACTCAGCAATTATTTCTCTGATGAATGAATGAATAAATGAGATTATAAAAATAATTTTTCATCTTTTTAAAAAAACATGAACATAGAAATTATTTTCTCCTCAATTTTAAAGTTTCAAAGACATTTATTTCTAAACATAAAGATTATGATGTTGTTATGACCTCTTGCATCCAATTACATGTATTCGCTGCATATATGCCAGTCACTTTTTTACATATTCCAAAGATTTTGCAGGGAGGGAAATATGTTTCATCCTAGGATAAGATTCAGATTTCAATGCTTTTGTAAAAACATACATAGTTTGTTTTTCAAACTACTTATCCAAATCCCTCATGGAATAATATTTCTTGGGTTGAAGATTTGTTTATAATGCTGAAAATCATGTCAGTAAACTACACTCTCAGGTTGAGCAACAGGGAGCCATATCTTTGAGGCCATGAAGTTTACTTGATAACTATTTTTTAAAAATTTAATCAGTCTTACAAATTCTCTGATCCATTCCTCGAAGGGGAAAAAATGCTCAAATTTTGCAAAACAGTTGCCAATTTTTAAAAGACTAGATGAGCCTTAATGAAGGAAACAGTGGGGAAGGAAGTACAACTGCCACCTCGAGGAGACAGATGTGGAGACATCCTCAGTCGTTTCTGCTCATGTCTTTTGAGAACAAATACATTAGCTGGTGATGAAGATATGCCTTAGCCTACAGAACACAAATACTGGCAGATCATTTTTTTAAACACATTGGAAGATGTGCTAAAGAAAGAATCAAAGTATAATAGTTGGCATGCTATTCGTTGACTTAAAGCAAAATACACACATATTAAATTGTATTGCCTTCAGTGATAGTTTCTATATTAGAAAATAAATAATGCCATAGAAATAGGATTCTAAAAAAATTTTATACCATTCATAGCTGTTACTTGCTTGTTTGGTGAACAAGAAAAGGATAATTATGAACACAATACCTCACAATCATATATATATATAAATAATGTTGTTTTAAGAAGATTTTATAAATTCTAATGGTGCTCAAATATCAGAAATATATAAAACCCTTACTGGGTTATATTCAAAAATCATTTATTTAAATACATTTTAAATGAGTAGCTATTATGTTATAGGTTATGGTACACATGAGTCTGTGTACTGGCAACTAGTCTCACTGCTGGTAGTCATCTTTCCCTTTAATATGCCCTCTAATATAGCAACAAATATTTTTAATGCTTTGTACCTCAAATGCAGAACATATTAATATATAATTAATTAATTCTCAGTCTATCACCTCATGGTATTATGCACCCCTCCCTTTTTTCTTTTTCTATCTTCTCTCTTTTCTCCTTATTTTTTCCTTGTATCAGTATTTCACTCTCATTTCACTCCACTTTTGAAGAAACATGATGTATTCTATGTGTGTATATTGTACTTATAAAACATACAATTGCATTTTGTGGTCATATTTTAAAATTTAGATAGATACTATTGTGTTAAAATTCATTGGTTTCTTTTATTTTTATAATCCACAATATTTCTGGTGATCAATTTCCATTATTGATTATATATTTGTTTCAATGTTTCTAATAGCTCTATAGCACTCCTTAGCGTGCATCCACCCCATTTTACATGTCTGTCCCCAGTGATAACTTACCTGAAACTTTCTGCTACTTGAAAGTTGCAAATAATATGTTCATATATGTTTTCTTACGTTATCTTGTGTTAAATATACATTGACATCTTTTATGTTGAGGATGTTAATGTGTCTGTAATCAGGTGTGATACAAAGTAGGGATATTTTCATTCTTCTTCCTCTGCCACCCTCTCTCCTCCCTGCTGGCCATCCTTGGTACTAAATGTAGTTATTCCAGAGGTGTGTAGTCTAAGGCTTCTATAATGGTTCATTATGTACCCAGCAGCCCTGGTTTCCAGCCTTTTCCATTATCAGAATCAGGGTTTCTATCTTCCAGATCATCTCATGTTCCACAACTAGCACTGAAGCTCCAGCTATCCCCTCCAAGGTGCTTTCCCAAAAAAGAAAAATAAAAAAAAGAGAAAGTTCAATCCTTCTAGCTGACTCAGTTGTGTATATATGTATGTGTGTGTGCTTCTTCTTTTAAGTCTATAGTTACATATCAGTGTAAGAAAAACTGGAAACTATATACCTTCTATTCTGGTGTTTCATAGGCCAAACTAAAAATAGGGTTACTCTTACTAAAGGAGACAGAGACAATATGTCTTAGTTTAGGCTACTTGCCACCTCTGCCAAAATTACGCTTTCAAACTTCTGTCATCCACAAAACTGAAAATTTTACTTCATTTTGATCTTTCATTAAGTATACATTGAAGATATAAACATCATAAATACAACAGGGTCCATAAAGTCTGGAAACATAGACAAAATATTTAAAATGTTGCCAAGGACATCTTTGAATTTTTTTTAAAAAATGGAATATAATAACTTTTCTAGATTTTTCTAACCACTGGTCCAAATGTTTATCTAGCTGACATCTAAAACAATGTTATTTAACAGAATTTTCTGCTATTGTCCAATATGGTAGTCATAGTTACATATGGCTATTGAATACTTGAAATATAGCTAGTGTGCCCAAGGAACTAAATTGTTTGTTTATTTAATTTCAATTTTATTAGCCACATATGGGAAATTTACAAGTTTATTGAATAATACAGATGTAAATAATTTTCTAATTATAAAGTTTTCATCACTCCTGCTGCCATTAATATAATTCTATACAACTTAGTACTGTGGTAGCTTCTCGCCATAGCTTCTCCTTTTTGTGCTACAGCAAACCACTCTCCAATAAGCACACAAATATGTCATTCAGAAGTTCAAAGATGCTTCACATTCATATAGTTGTGTATATTATTACATATTACATTATATACTTATATAATAATATACTATATGTTTAAAAGTAATAATATTTGTATTATTACTTAGCAGAAAATGAATTTTCTAATTTCTCCCATATTAGCTTTCATTTTCATATACCTCATGGTAAATTTGCTTTAAGTTCTTTGAGAAATCTAATTCTATTACTAGGTATATACCCAAAGAAAAATAAATAGTTCTACCAGAAAGACAAATTCACTTGTATGTTCATTGCAGTATTATTCACAATAATAAAGACATGGAATCAACCTAGGTGCCCATCGACAGTGAATTGGATAAAGAAAATAACTGTAGAATACTACACAGCCATAAAAAAGAATAAAATTATGTCCTTTGCGGCAACATGCATGCAGCTGGAAGCCATTATCTTAAGCTAATTAATGCAGGAACAGAAAACCAAATACTATATGTTCTCACGTATGACCGGAAGTTAAACATTGGGTACTCGTGGACATAAAGATGGCAACAATAGATACTGGTGTCTTCTAGAGTAGGGAGGGGGGTTAGGGGGAAGGGACTGAAAAACTATTGGGTAATATGCTCAGTACCTGGGTGATGGGATCACCTGTACCCAAACCTCAACATTATGCAATATATCCAGGTAATAAAACTGCACATGTACCCCTGAATCTAAAATAAAATTTGTAAAAAAATCTCTCATGGGAATTCCTTCCTGCAAACAACTAGTGTTAGAATTTATTATTTTTCTTAATGACTATCTGTCATTTCATGGTGTGATGGGCCACCATACAGTCAAGCATCAAAACACTGATGAACGTTCACCTTGCTTTCAGTTTTCTGCTCATACAAACAATTCTGAAATACAAATCTGATATGGTTTGGCTAGGTGTCCCCACCCAAATTGCATCTTGAATTGTACTCCCATAATTCTTACGTGTTGTGGGAGGGACCCAGTGGGAGATTATTTGAATCATGCTGTGGGTTCAATAGGAAGTGCCATTTGCCTCCTGCTATGATTCTGAGGCCTCCCTAGCCATGTGGAACTGTAAGACCAATTAAACCTCTCTTTCTTCCCAGTCTTGGGTATGTCTTATCAGCAATGTGAAAACAAACTAACACAGTAAATTGGCGCCGAGAGTGGGGTGATGATGAAAAGATGCCTGAAAATGTGGAAGCTACTTTGGAACTGGGTAACACGCAGAGATTGAAGCGGTTTGGAGGGCTCAGAAGAAGACAGGAAAATGTGGGAAAGTTTGGAACCTCCTAGAGACTTGTTGAATGGCTTTGAAATGCTGATAGTGATATGAACAATAAGGTCCAGGCTGAGGTGGTCTCAGATGGAGATGAGAAACGTGTTGGGAACTGGAACAAAGGTGACTCTTTTTACGTTTTAGCAAAGAGACTGACTGCATTTTGCCCCTGCCTTAGAGATTTGTGTAACTTTGAACCTGAGAGAGATGATTTAGGGTATCTGGGGAAAGAAATTTCTAAGCAGCAAAGCATTCAAAATGTGACTTAGGTGCTGTTAAAAGCATTTCATTTTAAAAGGGAAATAGAGCATAAAAATTCAGAAAATTTGTAGCCAGACAATCAGTAGAAAAGAAAAACCCATTTTTTGAGGAGAAAATCAAGATGGCTGCAAAAATTTACATAAGTAACAAGGAGCTGACAGTTAATCCCCAAGATCATGGTGAAAATGTCTCCAGGCCATGTCGGAGAACTTCCCAGCAGCCCCTCCCGTCACAGACCCAAAAGCCTAGGAGGAAAAAAATGGTTTCATGGGCCGGGCCCAGGGTCTCCATGCTGTGTGCAGCCTAGGGACTTGGTGCCCTGCCTCCCAACTGCTCCAGCCGTTGCTAAAAGGGGCCAAGGTACAGCTCGGACCATAGTTTCAGAGGCTGTAAGCCCCAAACCTTGGCAGCTTCCACGTGGTGTTGAGCCTGTGGGTGCCCAGAAGTCAACAATTGAGCGTTGGGAACTTCCACCTAGATTCAGAAGATATATGGAAATACCTGGATGCCCAGCGCAAAAGTTTGCTGCAGGGGCAGGGATCTCATGGAGAACCTCTGCTAGGGCAGTGTGGAAGGAAAATGTGGGGTCGGAACCCCCATACGGAGTCCCTACTGGGGTACCACCTAGTGGAGCTGTGAGAAGAGGGCCACTGTCCTCCAGACCCCAGAATGGTAGATCCACCGACAGCTTGCACAGTGTGCCTGGAAAAGTCACAGACACTCAGCACCAGCCTGTGAAAGCAGCAAGGAGGGGGGCTATACCCTGCAAAGCCACAGGGGCTATGGGAACCTACCTCTTGCATCAGTGTGACCTGGATGTG
This sequence comes from Homo sapiens, assembly GCF_000001405.40. Lineage (NCBI taxonomy): Eukaryota > Metazoa > Chordata > Mammalia > Primates > Hominidae > Homo > Homo sapiens. Next base: position 70,718,569 of record NC_000013.11, read on the forward strand.
AGACATGGAGTCAAAGGAGATCATTTTGGAATTTTAGAATTTGACTGCCCTGCTGGATTTCCAACTTGCATGGGCCCTGTAACCCCTTTGTTTTGGTCAATTTCTTCAATTCAGAATTGCTGTATTTACACAATACTTGTATCCTGATTGTATCTAGGTAGTAACTAGCTTGCTTTTGATTTTACAGGCTCGTAGGCAGAAGGGATTTGCCTTGTCTCACATGAGACTTTAAACTGTGGAGTTTTGGGTTAATACTGAAACGAGTTAAGATTTTGGGGGACTTTGGGAAGGCATGATTTTTTTTGAAATGTGAGGACATGAGGTTTGGAGGGGCCAGGGGTGAAATGATACGGTTTGGCTCGGTGTTCCCACCCAAATCTCATCTTGAATTGTACTCCCATAAATCCCACATGTTGTGGGAGGGACCCAATCAGAGATAGTTTGAATCTTGGGAGCGGTTTCCCCCATACTGTTTTCATGATAGTGAGTAAGTCTCATGAGATCTGATGGTTTTATCAGGGGTTACCGCTTTTGCATCTTGCTCATTTTTTCTCTTGCTACTGCCATGTAAGAAGTGCCTTTCGCCTTCCACCATGATCCTGAGGCCTCCCCAGCCATATGGAACTGTAAGTCCAATTAAACCACTTTTTTTTCCCAGTCTCGGGTATGTCTTTATTAGCAGTGTGAAAACGGACTAATACAACATCCTTATCCAAATGTCTTTGCATATAAGATTAGTTCTGTGTGCAATATTCCTAGTTGTGAATTTTTGGAGGTGCAGGGTAACTGTTGTTTTTTTTTAATAGATTTCATCAGATTGCTTTTCAGAAAGGCTACACGTATACATTTCTACTGCCAAAGTATGAAAGTATAATACTTTTCTATATATTTTCAAGGAGTGAGTGTTATTGCTAGCTTTTGTTGTTGTTGCTGGTCTGAAGCTGAAAATAAGTAACTTATTTGTATTTTAATGTTAATTTCTCTGACAAATAGTGAGTTTTAACATTTGCTGTATAATAATTATTTATATTTTGTTTTGCTCTTCTGTGGATTTATGAATTTCCTTTCACCATTTTTGTTTTATCTTTTATTTATTTTTCATTTACAATATTTTACTGTTTATTGTAAGTAACAATACTTTGTCACTTTCGCTGCAATGAATTTACTTTCCAATTTATGATGCATCTATTCATTTTGTTTATAATGTCCTTTGTCATTTTTTTAATTACATAAGAATAAATAGGTTTCGTTTTTTATACTTTTATACCATCTTGGTTATGTTCTTGTCCACTGTGCTTATTAGTATATTTGACTGTAGTTTCTTCTATAATTTTAAGTTTTCAACCTTCAAAAATTTATATATGTAGTATAATTGCATTTTATTTTGGTTTAAAATGTAAGATACAGTGCAAGGTTTATTTGCTTCTAGAATTATAAATAATTATGGCAGCACCAACTTTACTAAATCACTTTTTTACTAAATTGAAATACATTTTTGTTGTATGTTAAATTCTCATATTAATTTGGTCCTATTACTGCTTTCTCTGCATTTTGTCTCATATATAAATCTACTTATTTGTTTCTACACATCTCACTTTTCCTTTTCCATAAAATCTTAGTTATTTCATTTGAGTTTAAGTTTATAATATTTAATTTTCACCATCACCATCCCAAAATGCCAATCCTGTCAGAATGTTAGTTGAAATAAACTTAAATATATAGTTGGAGTTTAGAGAATTTCTGTTTTATGGCACTAAGATTTTATTCATAAATATGTTCTATATCACTATTTGGTCTTACCTTAATATATGGCTTTCAGTTACCACAATTTTATGTGTGTATGACCTATGTTGCTATGTTAATTATTTACAAAGTAGTTTACATTTTTCGTTGCTATTATGTTTAGAATAATTTTTACATTTCAATCTTAAGTGTTTAGTGCTTATGAGAACAGCTTAATGTTTTAGTATTACCTCATATTCAGTCACTGTAGTGAATTCTAGAAGATTCCTTAATCCCCCAGAGTATTTTAGGCTTCTTCAAACTACAGTATGTTCTCACCAGGAAAGGAATGCCTTTTTTTCCTCTAACATTTTATTTAGTAATACAACATATTTATGACTATCATATATTTAAATCTCATATATTTATATTTTTACTTTATGATGCAAACATTTTATTTTGTTTTTCATTCTATTTGCTACAAAAATAATGATGACAATAGCAAACAAATTCTGATCAAGTTCCTGGTATTCATTAAGATGAATTTACTATTTTATACTTTTAAATGATGTTTACAGACCTATGAATTTATTTTCCATCATTATTTTATTTTGGAATAACATGCATGTATATTAAAGAAATAAGGTAACTTCACAGCTATTTCCCTATTTGTAATACTATATTCTTTAAATTTCACATAGAACTCAGTGGCAAAATATTGTTATTCTAGCATATTTCTTGATTTCAAATGAAATTTTCAATTTTTTCTATTTTATTTTTATTATTTATGTATAATGGTATTTTTAGTTTATTAGTAAATTATTCAGTTACTTTAGATTTAAAATTTTTTAATATAGTGTTGCATTTTTATTCTAATTTTTATCTGTGATCATATTTGTTTTAATTTCCCTTAACAATTTATTTTCATTCTCTTTCTTGCTTCTTCAGTCTCACAAAGCCTTTAAATGACATTTTCATACTTAGAAAAAGACTGGTTATATTTATCTTTGCTCTTTTCCTATTTATTCAATTTTAGCTCTTATCTTTGTGAATTTCCACTTTCTACTTGTAAAATAACACGAAGTATTTTTTAGCTACTTCACTATTTTCTTTAACTTGATAAGAAAGATAATGTCTTCACATTTTTCTCTATCATTTAGCTAATCATAGATTCTTTGTATAAAATACAGGTTAATTGTTTTCTAAATAATTTGTAACATCACTTTGCATGTTTCTTGCTTCAATCCAGAAATGTAATTGGGAAATTCTTTATTATTTGTTTTAAATTTTATTAGGTTAAAATCACACATTTGGCCTTTAAAATACTTATGGTTCAAAAAATTTAGCATGTCTTATAGATAGATAATTATACATAGAAATACATGTAAAAATGGAGGTATATATGTATATGCATACATATGTATATTCTGGGATTTTTAAATTACATTGTTAATTTTTTTTGTAGTAATCCTCCTGAATTCACTGGTTATAGTAAATGTTCCATTATAATAATCTCTTCTATTCGTTAAAAAAAGCAAATTTTAATAACAAGTATTACAAGCCCTGTTCAGGTATTCTGGAGCATCAATAAATGCATAAAATATTGAAACAGATCTCTCCCTGCCTTTCTAATAGTTTTTGCTTCATTGACTGTGTTCTTTGCTCCAGACAGAATTAGGACTGTCACATATTCATAAATTGTGCCTTGTATTATTATATAATGTGTCCCTTTAATGACTTAGGTTCTTTAAATATTAAATTCTATGTGGTCTCATACTTAAGTCTTACTTATGTTTAGTTTGCATTTTCTTTATATATCTGTGTCTTTATTTGTACCTTTCTTTATCATGTTGTTTCATATGTTTCTTTTAATAAAAATATATCTATATTTTGTTTGACTTTTACATGTTTTCAGTGAAGAATGTTGTATATAAAGTAGTATATGCAATGCATGCATACACTTTCAACAATATAACAGGCACTCAACTTGAGAGGTAGAATATCACTTAGCAAATCTATGTTCCCCATTGACCTGTCCCCGATGGTCTTTATCTCCCTCCCTTCCCCCAAAGAGAATCTTTTTCACTGATTTCATCATCCTTCAGTTTCATTAACTTTTGAAAGCAGTTCATATGTGTATCACCAATAATAAATTGTTTATATATTATTGATTTATTTATACAAACGTCCTTACAATTTTTATATTCTTTTATGCCTTTAAATTATTGTGATGCTTCATGTTTTTAAGGTTTATCCTTGTGGATATGCCTGCTATGTAAGACAAATCATTCATATTTTCTGCTGTTGTTGGAATCTTTTTTGCAGTATTCGGCTATTACAAACAGTTTAGTGCAAGTCTCCTGGCAAAGAAATTAAAGAGATTCTACTTGGAATGGAATTGTTGAGGAATAAGTTACAAATATTTAATATTACTCTATAACAAAATAACATTCAAAATTGTTAAACAGATTTAAACTTCTACCAGGAGTGTGTAAGAATATTTTATTGCCAGGTATTTAAAACATTAATTTTTGTGAATATAAAACATCTTTTTTTATGGTTCTCAATACGTTGGAATTTGTTATGATTTGATTTATTGTCTAATAGATTTAAAAACTCTTGTTTATATTCCATGTATGCTTGGAAAGAGTGTATATTCTTTCCTTCCTCCTGAGTGTGTAATCTCTCTTTCTTCCTTAGTAGGAACCCCGTATTTTAGTTGAACTCACTGCAAGCTGGAATAATAGGTACACTTTCTTGTGTTCCTTGAGCTCATGCATAACTATAGATTTAAAGAAAATAAAAACAGACAAAAATAGCTAAGCGCTACTGGTGGCACAATGGAGTCACTATGGCATTCTTGGACTATGAACCTCTTAATGTTTTCCACATGAAAAAGAAATAAACTTTTATTTGGTTTAAACTGCAATCATCATTTTTTCCTGTCATATGCAGCTACTAATAGAATTATAGATATTAAATATGAAATTAAAATGTTTAAATAAAATTCATTTTGCTTTTAATTTGAATGAAAGGATAAAACAGATAGCTCATAGTTAATATAAGCAAACTTAAATGTACTCCAGTAGGTATAGAAAGCCAAAAGCAAACTGCATAATTACAGGAAAGGGATATATCTGTTAAGCAATTTAGGGTTATAGACAACAGTTCAGTAGTGTACGGTTTATTTCAACATCTGTTTGGGTTGCATTAATGAAAGTTTCATGTCAAGAGTGTTGTCAAATGAAGTAATAATTTGCCTTTACTCTGGTAATCAGTCACCACCTAGTGCATAATATGTAGCTTCAAGCTCCACATTTCAATAGGAATATGAACACATTATAGAATGTTCAGAGGATATCTGCCAGAAATGCACAGGGATTCGAATGATATCTCTCTTGGGATATTAGAAGATTATTAATGGTAAGGGAGCATTAATGAGTGATTTAGGCTCACTGTATTAGGCACTAATGGTTTAGAATTAAAACCAGTTGTTAATAATTTAGAATATATTAGTTTGAATTTAACATAAAGAGGGACTATGCAATAGTTAGGACTAAACAGAGATAAAATTAATTTCCACAGGACATAATGTGTTTCCTGTTCACTGGTGGTGACTTAGGCCAGATAACCACATGGTGGAGATGTTGTAGAGGGAATTCAAACATTAGATGCCTTGTTGGAATATGGGACATTTAAGGTTACTTCCAAATTCTAGAATCTATGAATTTATGGGACAAATATATAAGAGAAAAAAGTCTCAAATTTATAATCGATGTAGTGTTCATACTACTGTATCTAAAAAATGTATCCCTCAGCTTAATTACATTAATTGTTTCCTATACTAAATATACTTGATGGAGAAACTTTTTATTATGCCGAACACTGGATTAACTTTTTAAATTATGTGTACCTCTGCATTATATGTACCTGGCATATAAAAACTCTAGAATCAGCATAAGGAGAGTGCTTTCATTTTACAAATGTATAAAAATACATAAGGCTAAAATGGTATTGAAGATAAATATTACAGAGAGAACACAATAACCCAAAAATGGGTCAGCACAAACTATCCAATTGATTAGATGCTTGCAGAAAACCACAGCAAATGGCAAAATCAATTTACCAATCAGCTTTGCAGTGTTTTCTTCTAAACTCAGCCAGCTGGGCAATTAGGCATATATTTGGTGTTTTTATGTCTTTCATTGAAGAAAGCATCGTTTTCCTTTGGAAGCAGATGGTTTGGAACTATAGACTGGTCAAAGTTCAGTAAGGTTACTCTACTACAAACAGAGTAAATTGATGTGGCAGAATATGCTAGTTTGAATCTTTAGAAGAATTCAAAACTGAAAGAGAAAAGTTTCTGAGTTGATATTTGCTTATAGATTTTTGTAAGCTAAGAAATTACTCAGTTATATTTTAATGCAGTGATTCTTCATTGTTATTTACACAATGTTCCATTCAATTTACTTTTTTTGTAGGTTAATGTCCTATGGCTTATCTCAAGGAGTAGAATTTCAAATGATTATTGTTTTAGGTTTTGTCAAAGTAAAAGAAATAAAGAAATGAGAGTTCATGCAATGTTTTGGAAAACAAGCCTTCAAAACAATTTTATTCTGAGGTCAAATTCAGTTGTTTGAACTAAATTATCCAGTAATCAGGGTTTCCAGATGAATGTTTAAAAAAGATAAGGATCACAGCATTTTAAAAGGGAGAGTGAAATTAGGTATCATTTATTCGAATTCATGTCTACAAATGAAGGATCTCCTGCCTGAGATTTCAAAACTTGCAGCAGCATCACGTCTAGAACCCAAAATCTCACCAGGTTCTCAGGTGATGCTGTAATCTTGTAATCTTGTACAATGTCGTATCCCACATAAGGCAGTCATAGCATTAATTTCATGATGATGAAGAAAAAGAATAGTTCATCAGAACCGTAGTTGATTGAAGAAAAAGTACACCAAGTAATTGACCTTCCATTATGACATTAAGAAGGATTTCCCATGATCTTGCCATCAATTGTTCTTGGTTACTAGTCTGAGTAAACATCATTTTAATGATTGATAACTTTCTAGTTAATTAATCCTCAAAGATTAATCAAAGCCTTCTCTTTATTAGATATTTTTAGATGTTAGATATTTTTGGTGAATTTATCTGGCATGCTACTGTCAACATTTAATTTTGAGAGTCATTACAAGTTACAATTTATAGGAATACAGAAACCAAAGAGTAGAAACTACTGATTCGCTTGTTTTTCACATATTTGAGTTCTGAGTCTCATCTATATTTGTATGACTACAGCCCATATATATATAACAAGAATTCAACTTATGGTTGTGGATAAATTAAGGATTCAATGAATGAAAAGATATTTAGTGAATAGTACAGAAAAATTATTATTTAAAAACAGCAATTTTTCAATAATAAGTAAAATTCAATCACAACTATTATTTGTTTGTAAAAGTTTGTGCTTCACCATATAAAAAGTTGACAAGAAGGATGCTAACTACTGTGTCAGTAAAGGTACAGGACATAAAACAACTTCTTAAGATGTCAGTGAAATTAAGAAGAATTTTGAAGACTCAACAAAAAAAGTAGGTCCTAATATTCACTTAATACAATAGGCTGCCTGACCCTGGCTGAAAATATCAGACTTAAAATTAAAATATATGGTAACTCCAAAAGGAATAAATGATAAATTCCAAATGGACTAAATGTTTTAGAATAAAATGAAATCATAGGAGTATTAGATTCATCCATGGGGAAATTATTTTATAAGCTCAGATTGAGATAAGTTTTTCAAAACATGACCCAAAATTCAGAGTCATAAACTGAGAGATTGATATAGTTGACTATATTTAAATGCACAAAGGAAGAAAAAACAAAAATCTTTTGAGCAATAGAAAAATAATCATAAGATAAATGAAAATTGAGGGTGGGGGAAATTGAAAACATCACACAGGGCTAATTTCCTTCATGTATAAATAGTTCTTTGAAAAAAATATGACCAGTTCAGTAGAAAAATGGGCAAATTATTTGAAGAGACAATAAGAAGGAAAGGAAATACAATTACTCTTGAAGATGTGTGTAAAAACATACTTAACCTTATTCAATGTTGGGAACATTTCTAAATATAAACACATTGAGATTCCGTTTGTCATCTCTAAGACAGAAAACATACAAGTTGTATTTGATAAAACACTGTTCTGGGCAGCTGTGGGAAAACAAGTTGTCCTACATATTAATTATGGTAAGTGACTTGATGATATCAGTCAATGTTATATTTAAAAATTCTCTTTGATCTAGCAAAAACTTTATAGCAAAGATTCTCTCTTAAATGTGAAAGACATTATAAAGATTTATTACATTATTGTTTGTACCAGAGAGATTGAAAAAATATAAATATTCTTCAATGAGAGATGAATTAATTAAATTATGCTATAACCATACAAATTTCATAGAACTGTGATAACCAGTGAGGAAACTTATCTTTAAGTATGAACACTTTATTGAATTTATAGAAATCTATGGAACTTGGAGCTTTATTAAAAAAAAGTTCCAACAGCAAGAAATAGTCAATAATTCAGTAAAAATATGATACTATAGTTTTAAAATACGGAGATTTTATCTACATACATGTATATATTTATATGATCTAGACTTCTTCAGTTTATATCCTGCTTCTACCACTTAGCTCTCTGAGTGATCTCTTGTACAAGATATAAAAACTTTCTGTGTCATAGTTGTCTCATTAATAAAAAGCTGATAATAATGACACCAATATAATGAGGATTAAGCTCCAGACACTGCTCTTGGTACAGGAGCTATATGTTAGTTTCAGTGTCATAATAATTACTATTTCTTATAATTTTATATTTTATATATTATATAATATACAATATTTTATTATGTATTATGTAATAAATATACAAACACTTATAATTATCATCATGAATGTACATAAAACTATAGAAGAATAAATCAAGAAACAACTAATGAATTTTTACTGAATTTCATAGTATGGGAACTGAGATTGATGGCACTTAAAAAATAATATATAATGTTTAATCCATGGACTTATGTTGTTTGTATATTTGCATTGTGTTATTGATCAATTTATTAATATTCAGAATTGCACATTTTTATTGAAATTATAGTTAAAGAAAAATTATACTTACTTATGTGCAGTATTTCCTATGATCCTCAAGCGTCTTTAAATGCTGGAGAATTAGATGGCAATTTCACAGGGTTTTGTAAATTTGCTTGGATTGTTAACAGATTGGGAAATAGAACAATTTAGGAGCTGAAGTTGTGGAAACATAATTGTATTACTCACTATAGAAGGATATTAAGATAGAGTTTATTTCATAGTAAACACTTACTAAGGAATCTCAGACTATAAGTATATAAGCCCTAAATAGGGAATTCCAGAAAATATTTATTACTGTTAGTAAGGACATTTTCCCCTCCTCATCTTGATCTTTACCTAATTTTCCAAATCAAGGACCCACAATGAAATTGTATCTTGATATCAAACTTCTGTCTACTTTTAAGTTGTATCTATAAGATATATAAAATATAATTTCATGTAATTAATTGTAAGATCACAAAAATGTTTTCTTACATAATGCTAATAACTGATTGTAAAATTATTTTTAATCAATAGGCATCTGATTATGTATACTGAAAAAGTAATAGGAAAATAGAATTCACTCCTTGGTAGTCTTTTAAAAATTTCAGGGGAATAGTGATTAATGAAGTCTTTAGTTAACAACTTATTTTCACCTGTGATATACATTGCTCCATTTTTTCTCAATTCTTTATTTTTCTATTACAGATAGAGTAAAATTTTTTTGCTCAATTGATGTTTCCCTGAGGTACATGGCAGGCTTGTCTTGAGGAATATTATCAGGCATATGTAAACAGACGCTGGGGACTGGCTTGTACAGTTGAACTGGCCCTCTTGCTTTTCTATCACTGCCATGAAGAGAAGAACATCCCTCAAGTAGTAGATTAGGCTAAGAAGTATGAGAGACAAACATAGAAGACCTGGATTACAACTTCATCTTGGAGTTAAGCCCAGCCAACCCCAGCTAAATCAGTTGAGTCCAAGCTGACCCACAGATGCATGAATAAATTTATTCAATTCGGCCGGGCGCGGTGGCTCACGCCTGTAATCCCAGCACTTTGGGAGGCCGAGGTGGGCAGATCACGAGGTCAGGAGATCGAGACCATCCTGGCTAACAAGGTGAAATCCCGTCTCTGCTAAAAATACAGAAATTAGCCGGGGGTGGTGGCGGGCGCCTATAGTCCCAGCTAATCGGGAGGCTGAGGCAGGAGAATGGCGGGTGAACCCAGGAGGCGGAGTTTGCAGGGAGCCGAGATCACGCCACTGCACTCCAGCCTGGGCGACAGAGAGATACTCCGTCTCTTAAAAAAAAAAAAAAAAAAAATTGACTCAATTCTTGCAAGAATAAGTTACTCTTTCTTTAAGTCACTGAGTTTTGCGGTGGTTTGTTATGCAACTGTATTGTGGCACCAGCCAACTGCTACATTGCATTTTATTGTGGCAATATCTAATCAATACACTGAATTTTAGAAGTTTGTGTGGATTTATATAAAAAACAACTTATTAAGTATCATGCAATTTGGCGATTATCCTCCATGCATTTAACGCTTTATCAAGGGTTTCTCAGTGATAGATCCTACATTCAGAATAACAGTTTCTAGGAACAAACTAAGGAGTGGTTATGAATTTCTATGCCCTGAGTATAAAACCACAATCATTTGTTTAAATCTGTATGTCTATTATCTAAATAAGTGTTCAAAATGTTGTGGACAATCAGTGTATGTGCATTGACTAAGTGAACAAAATAAATAAATAAATGAAGGAGTAGCACATCAAATGGACCAAATTTACTGGTAGCTGCAAATTCTTTGCTTCTCTCCCCATCAAAATATGGAGTTAATTTTCCCTCCCTTTGTGTATGTGGTAAATCTATGATTGATTTGATCAATAGAATATGGCAGAAATGATAATGGGTACATTCTGAGGCTGAGACATAGGAAATTGCAACTTTCATTTTTGCATACATAGAATGCTTTCTCTTGGAAACAAGCCACCATGTTCCAAGAAGCTGAAAACATAAAGAGAGGCCATATGAAGGAACTGAAGTATCTGCTGAACAGCCCAAGCTGAAGTACCAACTAATAGCCAGCACCAGCTACCTACCAGCTGTGTGGGTAAGCCATCTGGGATATTTCAGTCCAAAGGACCTTCTGTATGACTGCAGCTCCTGCTGACACCACATGGAGCAGAACTGTCCACATGAGCTCAACCAATTCACAGATTTTTAAGTGATAACACATAGTTATCATTTTAAGCCGCTTGATTGTGGGGCTGTTTATTTTGAAGCAAGATGTAACTGAAGCCCTAATGAACAAGTTAATTCTAGGCTTTGCGTTATTACTTATATATTTCAGTATACTCCTGTATGTTCCTGTGAAATATTGAAAGCTGAGATTTAGCTCTTTTCTGTGGCTATAGCCTCGGGAACATACTTTCGTATTTCCAGTGGACTCTATAAAGAATTTTGAAGAGCTCTTTCTCTGAAGTTCCCAGATTGGTATTTATTGAGCCAATATGATCCACAATCACCCCAAAATTCACACCATGACTTTAAGTCTCCACAGTATTCCTAAATATGTTAGCTAATAGGCAGCATTTAGAATTCAGGAAAATTCATATTAAATTTATATTTTTAGCTTATCTTAATAAATATAAATTTTTACAACACTAGATTTGTATTTTTGTGCAGCACTTCTGGTTATGCACTAGATTTACATTTATGCATGAAACTAATTAGAAGCAACCTTATTTATATGAGGCATCATTTTGCAATTCAGCAAAGTCTTCACTAGTTCTGGTTCCCATATGCATCAGAACTCTTGATTATAAAAGTGAGAAATTCCGGTATAAATTTTAAATAAAAGGGGATTTTTTGTTTGTTTGTTTTGGGCAAGTAAAAAGTTCTGTGGTCGTATATTTAGGTCTAACTCGATTCTGAGACCAGCAACATCCATTTCTCTCAATACCTTGGCTCCTCTTTTCTCTGGCCAGATTTAATTCTCAGGCTCTAGTGTGGCCTACGAAACATCCAGGTTCACCTTTTTAAATCAAAAGAGCAATCCTCTTTCTATAGTCCTAGTAAAAGACTCACCATTTCACTCCTGCCGTAATTGAGTCATGAACTCATAGCTGAACTATAGCCAGAAATTGCATGTTTGTGTTGACCAGGCCTCAGGAAAAAGAGTCTTACCAGAACAAGGGAAATAGATGCTAGGCAATGCCAACAGAAATCTACCTCACAAAGCTTGTATACTTCTGTTCAGTGTGATCAATTTCTGGTCTACTTAACTCTGTCAAGCAAGTAAGGGAGTATGTTTATCCAGATCTTAAAACTGTCATTCCACACAGGCACTGGCTATGGATATATCCAACCAACCCATTCAAAGACATTTAATCTTAACAAAACACTCTTAGGGTATTTTTAATTTTTTAAAAAAATAAAGTGTCTTAAGAGATAGGCAATTAATCTTCTTAACCAGAGGGTTTCAGTCTTAACCACTACACCTTTCTTTTGGATGGATTTGCTCTCCTTTCCTGTGGTCTCTGAAAAAGTTGTTCACTAATCTTAAGTTTCACTAAGCCTTTAACTTTGATTCAAGATGAACCGTTCTAGGTCAATGGAAGCAGTAGTTTTTGTTAAGTCCCTTGCTCCCACTCTGTTAAAACTAAAGCCATGGATAACCTGAGCTGATTCTCTAAACTGTTGTTTAATCCTTGATCTTCAGATTTCTCTCTACTGTTTGTTCTTTTTTTTTTTTCCCATGGTTAGCTGAAGACATTTTTAGTTGTTCCTTTTTATAATTTCTTCCCATGTTTTGTAATTATCTTCTGATTTAGTAAGATAACTTGATCCCATTTTTGACTCATTATTTAGGCTAGAAAAATCCAGCCTATGGAAACATAGCTTTTTAGTGCAGATTGCATCAAAGACTGATTTATCATCCCAGACATAGCACATGCTAATCACACACCATGATGTATGTGATGGTCCAGCCATGCTGAATTAGAATTCTAGTTTTGTATTAGGTACATCATCCTGTACCATGCAAAAGATGCCAGAATAGTATTTTTCAATTTTTTGTTCTTTTCTTTATGTTTGAATTATTTCCTAATTAGTTTTATTAAATCAGAGGGGAGAAAACTATCTGAAAATTTTAAGTTAACAGTTCTCAGAGGTCCTTAACTGTAGGTTGGTTTAAATGGCTCATTAAGAAATTTAGTGAAATCTTGCCCACATATTGCAATTGTGAAAGAGCAAGTAGCTAAGTTCACAGCCAACTGAACAAAAATGAGGATTTCAAAGGATCTGAGGACTTTCCAGATGGGAATGCTGTCATGGGATAAGTAAATCGATATTGGAGATGAATCTCATTTTAGCTACTGCAAACCTGCTGGACCATTTCCTGAGATATTGTATAAAGCAATTGAAGATGGCGTGGTGTAATGTCGAACAGTAATACTAAACCACTCTCTATTACAAAGAATTTTCAAAAAAGTAGCAGATCAAAATTTTGTCCTGATTGTATACGGCATGATTTTTCTGATTGCTCTTCTCCTAATAACTCAACTGGTGCTTACTTATTTTCTTTAAAAATGGTTCTGTATAAGTGGAATATGTTTTCCATCTAAAAAACAAAATGCCTATTAAAAATGAAAGTTTTAAAAGTTTCTTCATTTCTAAATGAATTTTGAAATACTTAATTTATCCTATAATGTGGGTTTGAATTAAGGCCTATAATATGAAAACACTTATTTGTATATTTTAAAATACTAAAATTTTTTAAGAGGATCTTCTTTTTTAAAAAATTCAAATTTTAATTTGGTTTTCAAACTATTACTTTATGTTTCTTGGAATAAAATTTTAGCAATGTGTGACTCTAGCCACAAAATGTTACCCTTTTCTGATGTATTGACTTTAAATGGAGTGGACTACATTGAAGATTTACTTTTTAATGTATTCTGATATCTTACAGAGTTGTATTTTGGTAGAGTGGATCAAACAGTCCCTTCTATTGCTCAATTTGCCATGGACAAGTGCAGTATTAAAATTGTGGAATGGGTTTTTTTGGGTCACTGATTCAACTAAAAGGTATATTAATTCTTGCACATTTAAATTCTTCACATGTAAATCTAAAGAGTAGGGTGGCTGGGTAGGGGAGGGGGCACTCAATCGTTTTATCTTAGTAAACATTTAAGCAGCCAACTTATAGAACAGGTATTATTATCAATAAAGCCTTTGAAAAACAAACAAACAAACCTGGGACAAAGGAAGGACAAGCTGTTTACATAATTGAAGTCAAAATATCCTGGAGCAGTTGTTCAAGAGTTCAAAGAAAAAAGAAGCCCAGGCAGGGGCTACTGACCACAGTTCGACAGGGATCAGAGTTAAGCTGGAGGAGAGCTATGGCTTTTGTTTAGCCCCGTTATTGTTTTGGGTATGACTGGGAGTTTAATGATGTTGGCACAAGGCCTGAAATGCAATTTGCTATTTTTATTACTCTGTCAATATGGCACATTAAGGTCCTCAATACTCTTCAACAAATGTAAAAGGAAAAACCTTCTTTCTATATCACTGAAGAAATTAAAATGAAAAATGTCTGAAGCATGTTTCTCAATACCACAGTGTAGATTAAGGCTTTTGAGTTAGTCTAACTTATTAACTTAAAACTGTGATTAAAAACCTAAATTATATAGAAATATATGGTTTTTAGGATTGCCTCTAGAGAATCTTTTAAGAAGTGGCCTTTTGTTCTTTGTGTCTGTTCTCTAAAGGTAAAAAACTAAAAAAGAAGACCAGGACTTTTTCTTATAAAACCTTTTCCACTTGGTTTCTGGTTGGGGATAAACAAAGTCTAGTTAACTGATAATCAGAGGTCAACTAAAAACGAAACAATTGTATAAGAATGGAAATGGTGAAATTAATTCACAGTTTTGATACCACTACCATCTTTTACTTCTTACCCTTAATGGTGCTATATTAAAAATACTGGTATGCATTAATATCAAAATTAAACTCAGCCATTACACTACAAAAGCACTCAATTCTAAAGAATGCCTTTTTTCCCAGGAATGTTTTCTCTTTTAACCTCATATATTACCAAATTATATCATGCAAAGTAATTTTGAAAATTGCTTGTAATTGAGGCAAATGTGTGGTTTTTGCCCAAATTTTCCACATAATTACTCTAATTCTTTACTTGGCTCTTCTTTAAAACCTTAGCATAACAGCATTTTAGGTCATGTTTCTTTGAAAAAATGCCTTAAGGTTTTGAAACTTAATTTAAGTAGTGTTCTAGGTTTTGCTAAACTGGTGGAGTTTACCAGTAATTTAAATGCATGATAGTTGTGAATTAGGGTCACTGAAGTGATTAGCGATATTATAATTAGGTTACATTGTTTGCTGTTGCAAAGAATCTGAATTCTCCTTGTCAACACCCAACTAGAGTTAATCCCTTCATATGTGCTAACCTTATCAATTTACTCTTGTTCATAGAAATCTCAGATGATCGCATTGTGTTTTGTTTTGCTGTGTGTTTGTTGGTTAATTTCCATACCTCCAGTCTCCATGTCATTAGAGCAGTAGGAAAATTTTTCCGAAAACGGCCAGGCAGTAAATATTTCATGCTTTGAAAGCCATATAATCTCTGTTGCTACTCTTCAACTTTGCTGTATGGCAAAAGCAGCCACAGGTGATACATTACAAAAAAAAAATGAGTGTGGATGTGGTCTAATAAAACTTTATTTACAAAAGCATCAGGCCACATGGATTTGGCCTACAAGTCCTAGTTTGCTGATAACTGCTTTAGCCTTCATAAACTTCTTCAGAGCAGGGACAATAATTAATAATTTATACAACTAATTTTTTAAAAATAAGTAGTATTTATAGGGTTCCTGAACCCTTATACATTATTGGTAGAATAAAGATGTCAATCACCTGTGGCAACTTCTGGCCAATAAAGTGTGTATACTGTCAGTATAATAATAATTCCTGACATTTATTGTGATTTTAAGCTAGTTATAAGTACTATCTCTTTAGCTATTCACCCCAGGATAGACACACAAAAACAAAAATCGCATATGAAATTCTTGGCTAATGCCTAATATAATACCCGAAAATTCCATTTATCAATTATTTGGATTATGTTTAAATAATAATTTTGATAATAATAATAACATGGAGATCTGTAGTGGTTACTGAATATGCTAAACTCTTTTCTGAGTCTTTTTTGTATACTAATTATATACTTACAAAAACCTTATAAGGTACATTTGATTATTAAATAGATTTTGCTGAAAAAACAGCTGAGGAACAAAGTCCCTAAGTTCACATGACTGACAAGTTGCAGGGTCAGGTTTGAACAGAGCAGCCTGGTATCATTAACATACATTTGCTATGTTGATTCAAACTTTCTGTGTGGTAACCATTGGAATTTATAACACAACCCTTTATTATGTTTTTACTATTTAACTTTAAATTTAAAAAATTAACCTGTATGGATAATCCAAAAAAAGTTAAATGTTTAATATTCCTTACCCTGGAATACTTTTTTACAATATTTGGAAATAAATGTTCAGCATTAGAAAATTAGCTAAATATGGTATACTTTATCGTTAAGATCGAATAATATGAAACCACTAAACATAATTTAGTGGCAGAATATTTATTGACATAGGAAAACTATTCACCATACATTTAAAATTGGAATAAATAGCTTAACAAATGGTATATTATTTCACATACATAAAATATCTACACACGTGGTATGTTGGTAAATGTTTAACCAATGGCTTACCCGGAGAGAAAAAAATTGCATTTGTAAATATTCTTACCATGGACAATTTCAAGCTACTAATGTAAAGTCTGGGAAGCTACTAGATGTGGAAAGAGATACACATAATTTGTTCTGGCAAGCCATTGTGAGCTGGCCCCAGCACCCACAGATACACACTAAATGAAAGTGCAAGTCCTCTCTGAATGGTGGTATAATAGCTCACTTAGTTTGAATTATCTAAAAAGTAATTGTTAAGATTAGTTTAAACGTACAAGAAGTTCATGGGGGGAGGTCTGTGAAGGATGAAAGGGGAGATAGCTGGAGAAGTCAAGAAGAGTCTTCAAGACCATGAGGCAGTCTACGCCTGTGAAAGAAGAGAAGGAAGAAAGAATCAGGTAAGAGAAGCCTGAGACCTCAGATTTCAACACAGTTCTGAGAAAATCTTTGCTAGGCCAATGGGAAACTCCAAAGTGAAAGTGGTTTTTTAGAGGAGACCCACGTCATGCAAGAATGCCAGTGCTAATATTCAGGTTGTGCTCAGGCATTGCCTCAGCAGCTGGGTAAAGCATGGCTTGGCTTGAATGAATGTGGAGGTGCAGTCGAAGAGGACATACTTCCATGGTCTCCATAAAAAGGAATGATTTTTCTTCTATTATCTTTCCAGTATTTCTGTTTATGTTCTATAACCTATAGATTTTTCAATCAAATACATATTGTAATTGTGAAAAATTCAAGTTTCAAATGATATTTACCATTCATGCAGTATTAACTGTATATCATATGTTATACTATTTTTTCTGCTTATAATAACTAACCATTACCTGAGTCTTCACATTTTATTTTTCATTTTCATTTTTATTTTTTTGAGACAAGGTCTCGCTCTGTTGCCTGGGTTGGAGCACAGTGGCGTGATCATGGCTCACTGCAGCCTCGACCTCCCTCCAGGACTCAAGCTATCCTCCCACCTCAGCTTTCCAAGTAGTTGGGACTGCGGGTGCACACTACCACACCCAGATAATTTCTGTATTTTTTTAGAGACAAGGTCTCCCCGTGTTGCCCAGGCTGGTCTCCAACTCCTGGGCTCAAGGGATCCCCTTGCCTTAGCCTGCCAAAGTACTGGAATTACAGGTGTGAGCTTACAATACGCCAATTAGCCATGTAACCTTGGCCAGGCATGTTCCCTGTTTATAAAGAACTTCCATATACATTTTAATATTTTCCAAAATAATTTTTTGAAATGAGTAATATAGTTGCTCCCCATATTTATATGAATAATTTGAAAAACAAACAAAAACCGTTACTCTTCTAGTGTGGCTGAGCAAATAAATATTCAATTACAAGAAGCTGGGTTCTGGATATCTTGATGTTTTTCATGTTTTTAAAATAATGGAAATGCCCATCCTGTCTTCAATTTGTTTTATCCACATTATTGTGATTTTGGTATGAGTAATGAGAGGCAGCCCAGGGTAATAATTAGGAACATGGCCTCTGGAGCCAAGCTGCCTGGGTTTGAAACTTAGCTCTGTTATTTACTAACTGTGTGACCTTAGGCTAAGTCACAAAATCTGTCTAGGCTTCAGTAATCACAACCTTTAATGGTGATGATGACAGTACCAACTTCATAGGATTAGTGTAAGCATTAAATACTTGTAAATTCTTGCAAAACACTTACACTTGTAAATACTTGTAGAACACTTTGAAAAGTGCCCAGCACAGAGTAACTGCTATACAATTGTAATATTATTACGTAATGGATAAAAACACTACATTTAAGAAATATTAAGAAATTCTTCCAAGGCAAAGGAAATAAACATATTCATTATGATTTTTAAAGATGAAAGAATCAGCAGAGGCAACTTAGTTAAGTACAATATGTCAATGAGCCATGTAACCTTGGCCAGGCATGTTTCCCCTCTGGACCTTAATTTCCTCATCTGTGCAATGGTGTGTTTGTACTAGACAGTTCCCAAGGTATTTCCTGGGTCTATGGTTTTATGGCTTCCAAGAATTTAATTTGGTATCATTAAACCCTGAGAGGAAAAAAAAAGATTTCCTTTTGACCTTTTGTTTCAGGGGGAAAAAATCTACAAAATACTTAATACAAAATTTCAAAAGATCACAAGTACCAAGCATGTATGATTATTACATTACTCAAAACCACAAATAGCATAAAAGAAAGTCATTTCAAGTTAGTGTTCAATATTCAATATTGTGTAAGATAGTTTGATTGTTTTAAATTAAGATAAATTACATGCGCTGTTTTTACTTGCAAGTAATTTCAGGAATTTCTTTAGAAATTTTGCAGTCCAAAGTTTTTGAGATGTGTTGAAAATGGCCACTTTAGATAGGAAGACTTTTGGAAAAACTGTGTGAAACTTTTCTTTTGTTATATGTTTTTTGAGTCAGATCCAGAAGCAGTGGTTAACCTAGCAACACTGACAAGAGTCGTAGTGGTAACTACATTATCATTTGATCTTTAAAACTTTGTTATTCATGTGACATTGAATTATTTCTTGCCTAATTAGCTTAATTATTAGTACATACTGTAGGTAGGACCAAAGTTTTGAATTCATAGCATATTATAATAAAGTGGTATTATAGATGAAATATAAATATCATGGATTAATTCCACTAAGCCTTAATTAACTGTAAGCTAGACATTTTATGTATGTCATCATCGAAATCTCGCAGAGGATCCTGTACAATGTCCTGTTGTTTTCTCCATTTCCCAGAAGAGGATACCTAGTCATCTCAGAAACCATACTATTTAATAATAGCTAATAGCTATGACTTATTTATTATTTTTATATATTCTGTTAAGCGTTGCATGTTACAATGCATAGCAGGATATCTCTCTGGGTAGAGAAGCATTGAAAACATACAGACTGGACTTCCATCTATATGTCTTTGCCTCAGGACTTTTCTCTGTCTCCAGAGCCCACTCGGCTGGGATGGAATTACCTGAAAATTAGTGTACATGCACAAGCACACGCACCTGTACATACACACACACACGCACACACACACACACAAAGTCCAACATCCTCAACTAATCGTCTGGCTCCTTGCTCTTCAGTTAGTTCACTCTGAAGACCTTGTTCAATACAGCAGAGTTAAGCTCTAGCAGCCTTCAGTGATGTTTGCTAGATAGTGCAAATTCTATTAGCCACCTTCCTCTCTCAGTCTCACTTCACCTGTCTCCACCAGACTTTCCTGGAATTACCACCATGACAAATTTCTTGTGTTAGGATACTTGTCCCTGACTGTGCTGCTGGTGGAATCCAAAATGACACACCACGCTATTTAATCCTTTTAAGAACTCAGACGAGTAGGTGTTATTTCTTCAGTTTTTCAGAAGGAGAAATGAGGCTTAAAGAGATTAAGTTATTATACCCAAATCACACAGCTGTTAGGAAGTAGCCTATGGTCATATTCCTGCTATATAGTTTCTAGAATCTAAGATCTTGAACTCTATCTTACTCCACATTTTGAGTAAATGTATTGAAATTCTATATCTGAAAAAGGACAACTAAATCACCATTATTGTATAACAAATATTTCAAAACATGACCTACTTACATTGCCCTAACTCCAAAAATAAAGGGAAGCATATTTAATAGTCCATGAATCCAATATATTTTGTTGAATCTGATCGCAACTATTATTTCACTAATGATCAGTATTCTTCACAGCATAATGCATACCTTTTATTATCATTTGCTGACAAAAATCTAAGGCAGAAATGTATTTTTCTTAAATATTATGGAAGTCTGGTATATTTTTCTTATCAAACAATATAATGCCACTGATAAAGTGGAAAATATGACCCATTCTCCTTAAAATAAAATTTATTTGAAGCCAAAGAAGTATGAGTAGCAAAAAAAAAAAAATTAAATCAGAAGGAAAGTATAAAAAGTGAGATCACTTTTCAACATTTTCACTAAGAACATGCAACGAATTCTAGAGAAGAACTCCTTTCTTTCCTTGTTAATTTCACTAAATGGTGTCTCAAAATTAAAGATATGTATTTACTCCTGAATTTGTGATTGCGTGTTCACTTTCTACCAAAGTTAACTTCAGGAAACATTGAAAACAAGATGTATAAATGGTTGAGCGACCCCAAATTTAAAGTTTCAGTCTCTAAATTCACAAACCATTCCCTTGAACTACCTGTGTTATTTAGAATAGACATATAGATCTCTTAATGGTTCATATTTCAAAGTATATAGGATGACTTATGACATTTCTACTTTTTATCTTTGCAAATTTCAACAAATGAATAATATTAAAAATTCAAACAGCATAGCTAGAAAGACATTAAAGAAGAGTTGAGAACAAATTGATTCCGTGTTTAGATTGATTTGGATGACTGCTGATGGTAGAGATTCTCTGAAAGTTTCTTTGAAGAGTGCATGCTAGAATTCTACTTTGCTTGTTTTGATATACTTTTTCTTTGTTCAACTATTTTCTTTAACTTCTTTTCTTAATTCCCTTTTATAAATACAGTTTGGAAATAGTAAAATAAAAAAACATTTATATAGTCCTTACTATATTCAAAAGATAACCCCATCATATTAATTATTAGTTTATTCATCAAAAATTCCTTTTACTATAGTGTAATCACTATCCACATTTACAAATGAGAAAACCAATATGAAAAGGTGAGAAAGATAAGAACAGGCCATGACAGCTGGAAAATGGCATGGAACTATATATTAGATTTTGGCATTGCTAGAAGCTGGGCACTGTATATTAGATTTTGGCATTGCTAGAAGTTGGCCTCACAGTCACAAAAAGACTTTAGTCGAACATTTTAAAAAATTCACAAAATACGAATATCAGACAAGGTTACTCTCTTCCTATTGTAGATCAGAACAAAAATAATAAAATTTCATAATCATGCTTTACTGGGGGCAAAAATAAGAACATTATCTGTATTATAAAAGTGGCCAGACATTCCCCTAGGAGTGCTGCTTCTTTACCAATTACAGCTTTAGGCTTGCCCTGGTCTTTTCAATTTGTGGATAAGAATTAACAAAATCCCCAAGAAATATCCCCATTTCCTGACAATATTCAATCAAAGCAAAGCCTTATTTCCTTGGATTCTGTCCTAACACCTAATGCAGGTTCAGGTCCCATATTAAGTCCCTTTGGATACCCTCTTACTGAGATGCACACGGTTTCTCATGTGTGTTCTCCTTTGTTGCAGCAGGTTCATCAGCACAGCTTCATTGAACATAGAAATTAACACAAGTGTAGTATGTATTGTTAGATGTGCTACTGGTAGTCTTTGTCTAAAGGACATTGATAAAGATTAGGTAATTTTCCCATAGTCACACCACATGTAAGTGGCAAAGATTAGATTTCAACCTAGGATAACTTAACTGCTTTCATTATTAAACAAAAAAAAAGTGATGTGGAAGCCAATTTAGTATCTAAATTAATATCTTCACCTTGTCGAAAAGTGGAAGGATTTGCCTAATGTCATATAAGTAAGAAGACAGTGCAAGGAAAAAACCGTCACATCAGAACAGATTTTGATTTCCACATACTTTGTCCTGCACATAGGATTTTTTGTTGTTCTTCTTAATTTATTGGTAAAAGTGTTAAAAATATTCTTTTAACAGTGGCTATCATAAACACTATGCTGCTGATTGGTGCTAAAATTGAGATAATAATTTATATTAAGCCTACTCTCAGTGAAAATTGGAGATAGTAATTTATAATAAGCCTGCTTCTGGAAAATAAATTCCTCAGGTCAAAGATTGGAAAATTATTTCTAGTGAAGATACCCAAGAAAAAATCATGCAATATTTTCACTGCTATATGGTACTAAATAAAAATAAAAATTAAACAATGATGATAAAACAAAGCCCTTCAAACTTCATGAATGTCAATAAGTATTCTGATTATTGTGAATAATATTTAGCAAGCTTCCTTTTTAAAGTAAAATTGATTAAGAGCAGTGGTGTATTACTGAGAATGACTTGCTATTTTAATATATATAATAAAAGTATAGCCAGGCATGGTGGCTTGCACCTATAATCCCAGCACTTTGTGTGGCTGAGGCAGGAGGATTCCTTGAAGCCAGGAGTTCAAGACCAGACTAAGCAACATATCAAAACTCCATCTCTACAAAATAAACAAACAAACAAACAAACAAACAAACTGGCATGGTAGTGTGTACCTGTAGCTGGGAGGCTGTGGCAGGAGGATCACTTGAGCCCAGGAGTTTGAGGTTGCAGCTATGATTGTACCACTGTACTCCAGTCTGAGTGACAGAGTGAGACCTGGTCTCTAAAATAAATAAATATATATATACTTATATATATATATACATATATATATATATATATATATATAGAGAGAGAGAGAGAGAGAGAGAGAAACAAGTAGTAATTCTGGAACCAAATATAATTTTAAAATGCTTTAGAGAGGTTTTGTTTATTTTTATATATTCAGAATAATCCAAGTAGTCTTAAAAGGTTATATTTTTAAAAAGTTATACTGATATTTATGTAAAATAATATTTATAATATATTTTATTATACAATATTTAACTTCCTATTTCATTAAAAATATATTAGATGTATATATATCTGGACTTTTAAAATGAACATTTCTATTATTTTTACAGGTGATAATGGGGATACAATAACTTATACATATTTGTAGTGATCAATTGATATGTTTTTATATATGTATATACCCACAAAACATATATGAGTGCATGCATTTGTATACACATATATGTACACTCATGAAACCAGCACTACAATCAAGATTATGAAAATCTCAATCATACCAAAAAGTTTATTACAGCCCTTTGGAATCTCTCACTTCTAACAATCCCCAAATCTTCCTCAGTATCCAGACAACCATTGAACTGCATTTCGTTTTCTGGAATTGTACACAAATGAAATTATATAGTACAAATACTATTTTTAAATTTGGCTTCTTTTACTCAGTATAATTATTCAGAAATTAATCCATGTGTAGTATGTATCGTTAGTACAGTTATTTTCATTGCTGAGTACCAGTCCACTGTATGCGTATACTACAGTTTGTTTATTCTTGCACCTCTTGATGTACATGAGTGTTGATGGACTTGTTGATGCACATATGAGTGTTGATGGATGTATGAGTGTTGATGGACATATGAATGCTGATGGACCTCTTGATGCACATATGAGTGTTGATGGACATATGCATGTTGATGGACCTGTTCATACACATATAAGTGTTGATGGACATATTAGTGTTGATGAACCTGTTAATGCACGTATGTGTGTTGATGGACATATGATTTGTTTTGGCCAATAAAAATTGAGTTGCTGTGATAGCTGTGTACAAGTATTTATTTTAGTTTCCTATTTTCTCCTTTTCTCCCTTTTTTGGCCTTAATTCAGTGGTTTTAAAAATGCCACTTTATCTACTTTGTTGGCTTTTTAGCTGTAATTTTTTTTTGTTTATTTGTAGTCATTATGGTAAGATTTATAGCATACACTTTTAACTTATCACAATAATATCATACCTCTTCACATGTAATAAAACAGCTTTACAATACATTTTCCTTCACATCTGTTATAAATCCCAGTCTGCATTGTTATTATTATGGCTTTAAACAGTAATTTTAAAATTCTGTAATTTATAGTAAAATTTTAGTAAAAATTTCAGTAATTAAAAAACAGTAGGCTGAGCACCGTGACTCACGCCTGGAATCCCAGAATTTTGGAAGGCTTAAGTGGGTGGATTACTTCAGCCCGCCCAGGAGTTCCAAACCAGCCTGGGCAACATGGCAAAACCCTGTTTCTACAAAAAATACAAGAATTAGCCAAGCATGGTAGCATGTGTCTGTAGTCACAGCTACCTTGGGAGGATGAGGTGGGAGGATTGCTTTGTCCCAGGGAGGTTGCAATCAGCAGTGATTGTGGCACTGCACCTGAGCCGAAGTGACAGAGCAAGACCCTCCCTCAAAAAATAAAACAAAACAATGATCAAAAAAATAAAGAATAACCAAGAGTATTTTATTTGATCATCTGATATGATTTCCTTCTGCAAGAAATACATTATTTAATACTTACTACAATTCAGATCTGCTAGGGATAAATTATTTCACTTTTTACATGTCTGAAAAAATCTTTAGTTTACACTTATTTTTTAAAATTTATTTGCCTTGAATATAGAATTTTAGATTTCATGGCGTTTTTAATTACTGTTTTTGTGGTTGTTTTACCTTTCAACACTTTAAAGATATTGTTCCACTCTCTTCTAGCTTGCATTTTTTAGTATAAGAAGTTGGCCGTCACTGTTCTCTTCTTTCATATGTATGTAATTTCTTCTCTGATGCTTGTGCTTGCAGTTTATTGAGCTTCTTTCATGTATGGGTTTATCGTTTTCATCAAATATGGAAAAATTTTGGTCATCATCTTAAAATATTTTTTCTGCCCCCTTATCCTTCCTAGGGCCACTTACTTGTGTATTCCACTCCTTGAAGTTGTCCCAGTTTACTGATGCTCTCTTCACTTTTTATTTTCATTATTTTCCCTCTTTATTTAATTTTGGAATGTTTCTATTGCTTTTTTTTCATGTTCAGTAATCTTTACTTTTGCAGTATATAATCTGTGAATGTCACTCGTGTATTTTTCATCTAATATACTGCACAAATTAAATTTAGATTTGTTGTAAAATATCATTTCTGTCTCTACTTAATATGCTCAATATTTCCTCTGCCTTTTTGAATGTATGAAATATATAAAACAACTTTTTATTTCTAATGTATTACTGCTATAATCTGTTTTATTTTTGTGCCTGTTTCAAATAATTTATTTTCATTCTCATTTTGAGTTGTATTTTCCTGTCCCTTTGCATGCCTGATGATGTTTAAATTGATCTCAGACATATTGAATTTTACTTTGATATTAAGTTTACTTTGATGCTGAGTATTTTTGCATTGCTATCAATATTTCTGGGTGTTGTTCTTGGATGCAATTAAGTTTTTTGAAAAGAGTCTGATGTTTGAGCTGTGGTTCCCAACTGAAGATGTTTTGGATGCCCCCTCAGGGACATTTGTCATTTTCTGGAGACATTTTTGGTTGTCATAAATAGTAAGGCTGCTTGCAAGTGGCATGTAGTGAGTAGAGACCAGAGATGCTGCTAAATACAGCACATAAAACAGCCCCACACAAATAATTATCTGGTCCAAAATGTTAATAGGGTAACTGTTGAGAAACCATGCTTGAGAGGCTTTCTTTTAAGTTTTCTTTCATGACACCAGACCAACCATTAATATTTCCACTAATGAGTATTCCCTTACGAGTATTCTACCTGATATTTCAAAATAATCAGATTTTTCTAATATGGCCTTTGAGGCACAGACAATTCCTAGCTCTCTGTGAGCTCCAGTAAGTTTCCTCACTTCCTTTCATGTTGTTATCCTCCCCATCCTCACATTGTTTTCTCATACTAATCCTCGGAAAGTGTTTAGTTGGACTCAAGAGGGCCCCTCTTTGGATTTCCAGAGCTCTGTATCTCGGAGGTTCTCCTCTTGGATATTCTGTCCTGTGAACTACAGCCTCCTTGGACTCCAAGGTCTCCCAGCTCCAACTTCTCTGCTCAGGAAGATCACAATGCTCCACCTGCATTCCCCATTTCCAAACCCTCCACTGTGGTTTGGAAATTCTACCAGGTAGCACGATGGGGCAGGTTAGGCTCACATTGTTTGTTTCCCTTTTTTTAAGGGAGCTCTGTTTTCCACTAACAGTTTTCCTATGTCTGAAAAATAGTTGTGTATCTTTCATCTGATATTTTTAGTTGTGTATGCAGAAGGGTAAATTTGGTGAGTATTATTCAAATTTGATCAGGAGTTTCTTTTTATTTGTTTTTTAGGTGAGTAGTATTCAAAATTGAAATATAAACATACACATTCTTAGGGAAATGGATTTGTTTCATAAATTTAACAATTTTTTTTTCTGAAGAGCACATGATATATTTTAGAAGGAATGTTTCTTATATATAAATAAATACGTTAGATTGTTGAGATTAAGTGTTACATGTTTTCCCTATAATTATTTTGAGAGTTAATATGTGTCTGGCTGGAAGAATTTTAACATTTTTTTCCTCACTGATATTTGAGTTTTATATACATAGTAAATGATCAGCCTACAAACTTATACACAGGATAGGCAAATATGGCTGCTCTATTAAATACAAACAATTTCTTCCTCTAGGTCAAATCTCTTATACATTTACCAATAATTATAAGAAAAAGTGTTAACAAAACATGTCTTCCTTTTAAGCTGCTATATTATAGATCTGTAAAACATATCACTACTTATGAGGTGGTAAAAACAGACAAATATGGAGGCAGCAGTTTTGAATAAAAACTCCATTCAGTCTTCCTGAGTTTCAATACCTTGGACTACTGGTACATGAGCTAAAGTTAGAGGATGTTTGGGCACTGGGGAGAGTGATATTATCCTCTAGAAATGTTGTGATGATTAAAGGAAATGATTAATACGACAGAGGAGTACAAAACTACAAAGTAAATATATGAATATAAAATAGTCTCCCAAAGACTCTAGGTCTCATTTCTCTTGTTTGAAAATGCGGTTAAGGATACCATTAATAGATAATATTTAGTAAGCACTTTGAGAGCATACCTTTCTACCTTGTGAACAGCCCATTGCATGCGTTATTTGATTCTTACAGGAGTTCTGCTTAGTTACTATCATTCTGTTTCACAGGTGCGGAAACAGAGGCACAAAGAAATAACCTTCATTTCAGGAAGAACAACCAGTGGACTGTTTTTAGTGCCAGAGTCAAGACGACGTCTTCTGATTCCACCTGATACTTATTCCATATACAAATAGCAAGAACAATGTCTTAATACTTTTGATTCTCTTACCCAGCAAAGGGTCCTTAGTAGACGTGAGCAAGAACATGTCTATTTCAATAAACAAACAAGTAAACAAATAAAATCTATCATGTTATGAAACAATAAAAGAGCTTGGTGGATATAGAATGGGGAAAAGAGAATTAGTTTTGAGTCAAAATATCTGGATATGAGTCTTTGTTATGCAGTTAAATCATTCACCAAATATCATTGAGAGCTCGATTCTGTCAGGCTCTCTGACACATAAAAAAAAAAAAATAGAGAACTATGGGCCAGGCACCGTGGCTCACGCCTGTAATCCTAGCACTTTAGGAGGCTGAGGCAGGTGGATTACCTGAGATCAGGAGTTCAAGACCAGCCTGGCCAACATAGTGAAACCCCATCTCTACTAAAAATACAAAAAATCAGCCAGGTGCAGTGGCGCACGCCTGTAATCCCAGCTACTCAGGAGGCTGAGGAAGGAGAATCGCTTGAACCTGGGAGGCGGAGGTTGCCGTGAGCCGAGATCAGGCCACTGCACTCCAGCCTGGGCAACTGAAGGAGGCTTTGTCTCAAAAATAAATAAATAAATAAATAAATAAATAAATAAATAAATAAATAAATAAAAATAAATAGAGAACTATGAATATTTGGGGTTTTAATTGTCATTGCTGTTGTTTTATAAAAGTTACTTTCTTTGATGCCAGGTTAGTTCAGAGTGCTTATCAATCTCCTTTCTCAATTCATTTTAAGTGAGAAAAAATCCTGACCATTTTGAATTAACATATTCTATTGTCTTCTGATAACTAATAGTTATTCAACGTAATGAAAAGAGCTGCTTTTGTTTCATAATATCAATTGTGTGAAACTTAGTAAAAAATATTCTCTTCCTATTTTTCATGAAAGATAGTTCCAGTAATTGTTTCTAGATCTTTAATTGGTTTGGAAGAGATAAGTAAAATTAACCTTTCAATACTTTGTAGAAAGTAGGACTCCAGAAGTTTAGATTTCTACTAATTATAAAACAACTGCAACTCTGCTACTCCACAAACACATCAATAACAAGTTTTTAATACCAATTCACTGTATCTCTGTTTTGGGAAATTATATTTAAAAATAAAGAAAACCTATTTAAAGTAATATTATTTCAGTAATTTTTTTCACAGGTGCAATTTGATACACATTATAATGTCGTGATTCTTTTCTAAAGCCACTTTGTATTGGGACATATGAATACTGTCACATACTGGGTCACTGCAAGCTGAATATATTTTCTAAATCTGTTAGCTATCATGTCAGCAGTTCTTGGAAAACAGATCCAAAACAGCAGATGGCTGAGAATTTAGGCTCCCTGTACTTAAACTGGTAGTAAAGATGTCATTGCTAATCCACAGACCTAACTGAATCTTTGAATTCCTCAACAGAATGTTTCCATATATTGCTTAATCATTTTCCAGACTTGCAGGCTCAAGGTAATCTGACTCTTAAATACTGCATATTAATCTGTCATTACATATAGCTTATGGGATTTTTTCATGGATTGACTTACAAAGAAACAGTTTTGTTGATACATAGTTAAATCATTTTTCATGTGTCTGATTCTCTGGAAAAGAGAAAAACACATATAACTTTACTTAAATCAGTAAAGAACTAGCATTTTAGATATAATTTATCTGTATAACATACCATATTTGGCATATGAATCAGAAAATGAATCATAGAATCAGATTTGACCTCCAACGGAGAAGTGAAAGGGTACATTATAAATCTATATCTGCCAATAGTCACCTCAATAGTTTATGATTTTACAATCAATATTAAATATAATGATAAGTTAATTGTACTTAATTTTGTTTTAAATTGAGTTATCAATAAATTCTGAAATTAGATTTTGGAGAAAAGAACTTTAATTGTATTGGCAATGTGCATTTATGAAATACTTATCAATATACTCTGATACATTTGATTTTGGATGTTGAAAGAAAAACTACATTCATAAATTTTTCTATTAGAATGATGTTAACAAGGTTTGATTAATATACATTACATATACATTGTTTATTCTTAGGAAGAATAAGTTAAAGAAGCAGCAGTTAGGTTGCTAATTTTTTGTTTATTAAGGAAGAAAGATGTTAATTAGTTAGGAGTACATTGAAAAAGTGTTAATATATTTCTGAATATATATGAGACCAAATATTCAAGTTATTGAAAATTAGAACATCTGAAGAATATCTCCTGGTCATTGCTCTCAACAAACTTTTATAGAAGACTTTCAGAAGACAGCACACTACAGTTGTTATGGGATTTCAAAATATACTTTAAATTTGTTAATTCCACTTGAGATAAATGAGAAAAACCACATAATCTCCACACCCGGTCTCAATTATAGTTAAAGTTCTTACTCATTATTGATGCAGGTTCCATCAAAGTGATCAAAATACAGTAATTGGGAATTCTGGAAAATTTTACGGAATTGAATATTATAGTCTGACAAATTTTGGAAACTCATGATTTTCATGGTATTTGGCAAATTGATGTAAGAATAATAAACAGAATCTCCAAATTCTCTGAAGAATATATATGTATTCTTAATATATTATGTGAATATACAATATAATATATGAATATGATATATACATATATTTTTATATATATGGTTTTGCTTTCAAAACTCCCCAAGCAATAAATGGATGTGACTTATATAAGAGCACTAACTGTTTGAGATCACTGAAAATACATCATGAAAACAGTCACAAAACAATGTTTCTTTGAGTTGAATCATATTCATAATTTTGAAATTAAGAAAAAGAGATGCAGTGAAGTAATTAACTTTCCTTACCCATATAGTTAGTAAGTGACAGAAACAGGGTTTTCATTTTGTTCCTTTCATTTCAAAGTTCAGATTATTTCCAGTAGTGCCTTACATTGCCAGAAATAAGTATCTATTGGCAGGATGGAAACATAATTCTATAGAAAACAATACTTTAAAAAAAAAAAGCAGTATGTTGGGGAAGAAAATAAACAACAAAATATATATATATATATATTATCTAGATAAAATTTAAAATATTATGTCAAGCAGCATGATTTTACAAGGTAAAAAACATACATACAATTATTTCAATTTGGGAAAGATTATATTGTGGGCAAGCACTTTGTTTTATAGTGCTTTTTATAAATATCTGCATATATTTACATTAGAGAAATAGGAGAGGTATTGATGGCAGTGGTAAGTCAATATAAAGAAGAAATCATTAACAGTAAGAGATACATAAATAATTGAACTGACTGACTCAAAATTTAGCTACTTAACATTAAAATTGTTCAAAAACAGTTTGGATAACAATAATAGACTGTATCACGTATATGGTTTTGTCTAGTTCGTTAACTAGTTGATATAGTTGCTATCGATTCTAACAACATGAAAATAATTTCAGGGTGCTTCGTTACTTAAAATTTTAAAAAATAAGTCTTAATTACAAATTGGATGTATAATAAACACTAAAAAGTATTATTATGATGTATGAAAACAAATTTATTTTAAAATAATAGGTTGTCATTTACCTAGTCCTCTACATGTTATAATACATTTGTATAAGAACTACTCAGTCTAATGGTTTAGTAATAATTAAAACAAATTGTCAAAAAATTGTTTATATTATGATCAGTATATTTTATTTTTTAAAAACATCAGTAAATATATAAAGAAGAAAAAATATATTAATTTTAAATATAAATTTAGGTTCTTAACTAAAATTTAATTTACAGGTAACTACTTTGTAGTAATTCATATATTGCTCAACTTAAAGAATAAAGAAATTATCATACTTTCATCAGCAGGAAAAGGATTTTGCACAGAAATCACTATGATACATGGTTGTAGATATTCATTTACAGAGTGCCCCTTGTATTTTGCCCATTCTGAAAGAAATATTGTATCAGCTCAAGAAGTACACTAATAAAATTATTTAGGAGTCATATACTACTTCTGCACACACACACACACACAAACTCACTTTTTTTCATTAACTTAAATCAAAGATGTCTTTTGACTAAATTTAAGACTGAGTCGAGAACAAAAGATACATCATCCTTCAAGCTACTGAAGATCGGGGGGCTGCCTCTCTCTCAGGAGTAGAAATCTCTCAGATCCCTATCAGTGAGACTTGGTTCTGGAAATATTTGTCCTTTCTGAATATCAGCCAGAGGCTGATAGAAAAGCAGGAGGCAAATAAAGATATTTCTTAACTTTGCAAGCTCTTTCTTCTCTGGAGCTTTTTCCAAAGAATAGTTTTTATGTGAAACAAACTGATAGCTTCAAGTTATAGCCCATTGAAAGTGGTCTGCTTACTATTATCTGCACCCATACAGTAATGTGGCACCTTATCTAGAGAGTGAGGCCAGTGGACCAACCATAGTGATAAATTTGACATTTCAAGAAAACGTGTTTTTGATGCTAAATCAGCTCACTTATTTCCTTCAATGCCCTCCTACTTTGATTTTTGCACACACAAAAATGTGATTGAAAAGTAAATTGAACAGGAGAATTATTCACAATTTTTCCCCTAACTAACCTACAGACTTTATTTGGATTTCATCAGTTTTTTGACTACTGACCACTTTCTATTCCAGAATCCAATAGAGAAAACCACATTGCCTTTAGTCATTATCATCACAGTCTAGTCTGGGACAATTTCTCTGTGTCTTCCTTGTTTTCATAATCTTGACACCTTTTGAATACACTGGTCAAGTGTTTTGTAGACTGTCTTTTGATTTGGGTTGATCTGATATTTTCTCATGATTAGACTAGCTTTATGAAATTTCTGGGAAGAATACCCCAGAGATGGAAGACCCTTTTGTTATAGCATCATATCAGGTTGGACCTGTCATCAGCATGACATTAGATAATATCCTGATTATCTAAATGATGACAGTTTATTTAAAGTGTTGGCTGCCAAGTTTCTCCACCGAAAAGATAGTGCTTTTCCTTTTTTGGAAGTGAGTCATTAAGTCTAATCCATATTCAAGGGAGAGGAACTAACATCCAACTCCTGAATGGGAAAGTATGTCTATATGTTATTTGAACTGCTTCTACATAGATTTGCTCCTTCTTCCATATTTTTACTCAATCATTTTTATAGCAAGTGTATTTATTTTATACTTTGGGTTATAATCTTCTACTAACCTATTTATTTTGGTGTTCACATGTTCTAGCTTTGTCCATTGGAACTCTGTCATTCCTGTGTCTCACTCACATGACTTTATGCTTCTTCTATTTCTCTCTGTTTCGTTTTATGTCTGGTGAAGTGACATTTTAGTACTGAAAGATGCTCCAGGCTCATATGACATGTTCCCTGTTCTAATTCTAGAATGAAACATTTCTTTAAGAAACTCTGATTTCTTTTATTGGAGAAAGATATTTAGAAAACAAGATCTGACTGTTGGGTATTCCCAATTTAGTTTAAAAATATCATAGGATCATCACATGCTCACAAAATCTGTTTTTTTTTCTAACAAAAGATACTTCTGGTAAAATGTAATCTCAACATTATGAATCATGATATTGGAGGGGAGTTGAGACAGCATCACAAACAAATGTATAAACAATTACACAATTATCAGATTTGAATTTGAAAAGTGTTTAACTGTTAATATAAATGTTATTTATTTATTTATTTATTTATTCCAACCCCACTTGATTGTCTTGTGTTAGGAGGTGAAATACTTGCTCTCTATGTAAAATACAATGGCTGCCTCAAGTGGGTCACAATCCAGTGGGGGAGTTGCCTAAATATATTAATTATAAGAAAATAAAGAAAGTGCAAAAAAGTGCTATGAACTAAGTGCATATGAGCAGAGGGAATAACAAAAGTAGAAAATAAACTCAATGTTGAGAAGACCCTTCACTAGAATACCATTTAAATAGAGTCTTAAAGAAGACAACTTGGAAGATGAAAGTTTAGTGATGCTGATGTGGAAAGCAAGTTAAAAATTCCATACATAGAAAATCTCTGTTCTATACGAAATCATGAATAAAGTCATCAAAGTCATGTGAATATTCATGGCATCATGAGGAATCAGTGTTACTGGAATTGCTCTAGACGTACATGGGAGTGCATTAGAAGAGGAGGCTGGAGAGGTAGATTGGGACAAGAGACTGTAAAGAGAATTTCCCAAACTAGCACATATAAATAAATGGAGTCTCTATTGTAATTCCTATTATCTGAAAAGGTTGAAATTAATTTATGATAAGACAGTTTTGCTTACTTTTTAATTACCAGCTGAAGACTGGGAATGTGCCATATTGATTCTCAGTTTGGTACAATGTATTAGTGTAGTTAGAGAAGGCTTCCATGGTCAGAGGTGTGGGATTGAGACCTAGGCTCTGTCAATTATGAACTATGTAACCTCGAACAGATTATTTTATCTCTCGGATACTCATCTCATCTAAAAACAGTATGGAAATAAACACCTCTTAGGGTTGTTGTAAAGATTAATTGCAATACTACAGGGCACATCTAGACAGAGTATAAACAATAAATGTCAACAAATATTATTTAAATTTTGTCTCAGTGATTATATTGGGCATGATAGATAATAGAACTACAAAGGACTGGCTGGCTGGTCATGCCCATAGCAGCTGACTATGTCTATAGTGAACAAATCCTTTGATAAAGGAGCAATTGCCACAAATAATTGGGGCAAAAAGGATCACAAAGGTGAAAAATACCTTCAAAGTTAGCTTTCTTTTTTTATTGTCAAGGAAACATCTTCAAAATTTAAGCTGACTCAAATAAGGTCACTGAGCAAGTTGGTGCAGAGCATGTGGAGTCCAAGCCTCCCTTTCTTTGTTTGTTATCTCCTTGTCAGATACACAAAGCCAGTGATTCTGATAGATAATTATTGTATTGATTAATTAATGCTTGGATTATCTTCTAAACAAATACACAATTTGTTTAAAAATATAAGTATAAATTAACTCATTAAGAATACAGACACATAAACTCAAAAATTTTAATGGGAACAAACTATAGTATAATTTGCATTTGATCTCTTTTATTCTCAATCTTCTGGCCCCTTTACTAACATATTTGTTCCTTTTTTTTTTTTTTTTTTTTTTTTTGACAGAGTTTTGCTCTTTCGCCTAGGCTGGAGTGCAGTGGCGCAATCTTGACTCATTACATCCTCCGCTTCCCAGGTGGAAGTCATTCTCCTACCTGAGCCTTCCAGGTAGCTGGAACTATAGGCATGCACTACCACACCCAGCTAATTTTTTTTTTTTTTTTTTTTGTATTTTTAGTAGAGATGGAGTTTCGCCATGTTGGCCAGGCTGGTCTCGAACTCCTAACCTCAAGTGATCTGCCCATCTCAGCCTCCCAAAATGCTGTGATTACAGGCGTGATCCACTGCACCAGGCCTCATATTGATTCCATTCAGTTGAATAGTGGGGTAACTTTAAGCATTTCTTCAACTTTTTCTAATATTGTGCATAAAATTATAACAATTTCAAATAAATTAAAAAAAACACAATTTGAATTGCACTTGAATTACTCTCCAGGGGGCTCAATTGTAATCACTATATTCAAATATAGAAGTATTAATAACTAATGACTAAGGTAGCATAATTTATATGAATAAAGATTTTCATTAGGTTTAATAAAATATACTGGTTCTTCTTTTCTTATATCTTTGATAAAACAGTCTCATCATATCTTATGTCTCTCTCTTCACCAAATTCTTAATAATAATGTGGTCAAAATCTAAATTACCACAAAAGATTAACAACTAGCGTATGTTGTTTTATTTCATTGCTAATATTATTCTGTCTACCCTTTGAAAAGGAGACAAAAGTTAAGGGAAAATTTGATGTTATGTGTCGATTTAAATTACATGGTGTTTTGTAGGCTTGAGATAAAATCAGCAAAATTACTAATATTTTCTATAGTGGTGATAATTGACAATACATTGTTTTTCAAAGTATGTACTCAAGAGAACTTCTAAAATATTCTGTGACTCTTGTTAAAATGCAGATTCGTGGACTTAATAACGTATTACCTGAGTTAGAATCGCCAAGGTTGTATATTTAACAAGTTGCTGGTTTGTTTCCTAAGCTGATATGGTTTGGCTCTGTGTTCCCACCCAAATCTCATCTCGAATTGTAATCCCCACATATCAAGTAAGGGACCTGGTGGAGTTAATTTGATCATTGAGGTGGTTTCCCCCATGATGTTCTCATGATAGTGAGTGAGTTCGCACATGGTCTGATATTTTGTAAGTGTTTGACAGTTCCTCCTTCACACTTTCCCTTTCTCTCTCCTGCAGCCTTGTGAAGAAGGTACCTGCTTCCCTTTCTGCCATGATTGTAATTTTCCTGAAGTCGCCCCAACCATGTGGTACTGTGAATTAATTAATTTGCTTTCCTTTATAAATTACTGAGTCTCAGGGAAGTTCTTTATAGCAGTGTGAAAACAAACTAATGAGCATTTTTTATGTTGAAGAACCTCTGGTATGCTGACTCTTTAAGAGTTTGAGTATTAAAAAAAAGTTTTCTGTCCAGCAAAGCCTTAATATTGAGCATAGTGCATAATATTCTCACTTAAGAATTTTCAAATTAGCTGAATAAACATTCTAAAAAATTCTAGTTAATGGAATTAACATAACTTTTCTGTGACTATATGGAAATTATCTTACATACTGTAAATTCAGAGGTATACATAATTAGACTTTGTCTATATCTGTAAACACTGTATTATTTGAATAATTTTGATTGAATAACTATTTTCTAATTTAGATTTATATCCTACCAGCAAAGGTCATTACATTATAACATTTATTTATTTTATTGTGATTCTGAGTTATATTTTTTAAAATTTATATCCTCATTTTAATATTTTATAAACTGTATATAGTATTTATTATACATGAGGTATTGCTTTATGAACTATTCAAATATTAAATTATGTGATTTCATAACAGTTCTAAGAGTTAGGTGCTATTATTTTCTCCATTTCACAGGTGAGGAAACTGAGGTATAGAGAGGTTATAAGATTTGCTCAAGACCTTGCAATTGTCCTAAGTTGATGAAACCAGAATTCAAACCCAGACAGTCTGGCCCAGCATCTATATTTTTAACTCATGCTCTGCCGCCTGTGACATGAGATTGATAAATTTGGTTGAGGTCAAAAGTTGGAAGCTTTGATTTTATTGGGCTTTCTGCCTAATTCTTTCTATAGTAAGTGAGAAAGAGGCCAATTTTTAAAAAAAATCTGTTTGAACAAGTCTTAATAGAAATAAATCCTTTTGGCAGGCTTCTCTAAAATGTCTTATTTTATCTTGCAGAATTTGCAATTAAAAATATTTCTTCAAAAATTAACATTCCAACTTAGTGTGATAAAGTCTGACTTTTATTTTCGTCTTGTAAAATCAGTCATCAACCAAAAAAAAAAAAAAGGAGGAATTGCAGAGGGTTTTGTTTTGTGTTTGACTTCACTATTTCTATTACAGTAGCTCTTCATCACCATGGACTTGAATGTTAAGAAAAAAAATTAATATGGCTTATAGCAGTAATCCTCTTAAATGCTTGAGACTTTGCCAGCTTTCAACTAACAAGCCAGGTTATTAACGGCTGCGGTCCTGCAACACTCTGGGATTATTGTCTAGGTCTGCTGACGAGGCATTGCTAGTGACCAGTTTGTAAAATGCAATCTGTTATTTTATTTCATAACCTGATCAATGATTAAAACTGCTTGAAGTACAAAAATATGCCTTCCCAACCAGCTGATGATTTTTGCAACATAGAATTGAATGTCTCCTTTTATGTGTGATTAAAGGTTCTGATTATTACCTATGTAAGTTATCTGGCAGCTTTTTTGGGGGGCTTTTGGTTTGATCAAGCAAACTTGAAAAGAACATCAAGATTAAAAAAAAATTAACATTACCTTTAACTAAAAAAAATGACAGCTCTGTAAGAAGACTGTCTCCCCTCACCTGATTCTTAATATGGAGTTTCTGACAAGTATAGAGATTTGCCTTAATTATTTATTCATTTCATTGAAATCATCTTCATCTGCTTTAAATTTCTAATAAGTCTATTTAAATAAAGAGAATCCTATTTGAATGTTGATTTTATACTTTAAAAATCATGAAGGTGTCTGTGTTTATAATGAAGTGCAGAGGAGGCAATGGTAATGATTATATCAGTAAGTGGCCAGAATAAAATTGCAAATCCCATTAGCTAATGACATAATGGCATTTCAAACCAAGTTACTATAAAATAGTTCCAGATATCAGTAGATTAGAAAACAATAATAAACCATTATTGCTGCTAGAAAATATGGAAGATGTAATCTGAAAACAAAGAAAAAAATAATCCATACTTTCTCACCTTTATGATCTGAACAAGTTACAACTTGTAGAACACTTGCCTTTGGTACAGCCAATAGGGCAGCTAGTTGCCTTGTTCCCTATGCCTAGGTTCAGGCTTCAAAATCTGGCTTCAGGTTTTGACATAATGATTTGTTTCATTGGTTTGGTTTGATTGTCTTATTAAAAACCCAACAGCTCTGATATGAAGAGTTTCTGAAGCTCTATTTTTTCATTTCCCTTGTGGGGTCTAGATGATGTCCTGCAAATTTGCTTTTCATAGGTATCCAAATTCAGCATAAATTCACCTACTGGCCCCCACCCTTTGCAAAAGCACCTTTTCCAGTAAAGTATGTGTATTGAAAGTGTTAAGTGTTGGGATTTAAATATAGCACAATACATATGAAGATAGGTGAGAGAGACGTCTGGTATGGTGGACGTTTTATTTTCAGTGTAGTTCTAAGGATGGTTTTTCATGTCTTTTAAATAGGAATGGATGACAGGTTGGAAGCATGTTCTAAAAAATTCCTCCTATATACAGACAGGGACATACACACAGATACATGTACGTTTAAAGAATAGTATTACAGGCAGGAGAATAAAAAGCAAGACAAATGTGTGCAGAAAGGAAAACTAGGCAGTTATTCCTACCTGAATTTTCACTCGTAACTCTTCTGAGAATACTATATCCTACAATAATCCTATATGTGTCAAGTATCAAAATTGTATTTTGGTGAGAAAGGTTATAAAGAAAATATGTTTTTCAGCCTTACATTTTGGAAAATTCTAACTTCTTATTTGCTTCTTAGTTGCTCAGGTTTCTGAAAATGAAATTGGAAATCTGAAAAACAAACCTTCAGAATTATAAACTAAATTGTCTTACAAATTTTTTAGATCCTATTGACCAGTCCAATGCCATTCTACCTCATGAAAAAAATAATAATAAAATAAAAATATTTTCCCTTGTCTGGAAGCATTTATGAAAGCTAAAAATGGCATGCTGAAATTTCAGGATGATATGTCTTGTTGTATTTTGTCCCCCAATTCTTTTGATGATAACTCATGGAGCCCCTGCATTTTGCAAATCTTTGCAGTACAATTTGGTAATAATTAAACACAATGGCCAAAAATAATAGCTCTCCATATTACTTTTGCCCCTTTCCAATTTATTTCACCCAATGTAGTTGTTAAATTGCAATCACAAAGTAAAAATTCACCAATCATGCAGAACAACAAGTTTAATTTGTTGATCCATTTTAACATTCAAATCTCCCTACCAATGATTTTAGCAATGATTTATACCTCAATGTAAGAAAGTTGCATATGTATATTTTTAAGTCTATTTTTTTTGTAGGGAGATAATCATGATACAAAACTGAATTAATGAATGAGAAGTTTCTACAAAAGACAAGTTAAAACAAACAAACAAAAAAAACCAGGCTGTAACAAGGACATAATTGAGGGGACAAAGGCAGATACGTCTTATTATTTAGTCTGAAGTAGGAATTGGTTGCTTAAAACCTTTATTATATTTTTAAATTGGTAAATGCAGTGTAATTTTCTATAGATATAACCATTGGTTAAAACTGAGGTTTTATAAAATTATTTTAATAAATTCTGATAACCCATTTATGTCTTTTATTCCAAGAAATCTAATTCTGCATGTCAAGTTCCAAGTGAGTAGCCCAAGAGAATACACTTAAATGTATCCACCTATTATGTACCAAAGTAAAAAACATACATGTTTGTGGTTCTGCATTAGAAGTGGAAAAGTTGGATCTGCATCTCCAATCTGTACTTGCCAAAGATTCTGATATTTCCCAAGTCTATGCAAATATACATAGATTTTCCTCCATCAGGTATAAAGAACATGTGTGAAGATGAAATAACTCAGCACAAGAATGTATTCATACAACATTCGTGTGGAAAATTTGAGAAGTATAAGACGGCATAAATTTTCTAAAATATAGAAAAGGTGTTTCCTTTCTTTTTGTATTTACATATATACATACATATATATAAATATATCTCCTATGAATCTGACAAATTATAATATATAATAATACATTGGACTCTTGTTGCACCTTGCTCCTGAAATTATTAAGGGATGTTCACATTGGTTATCTCATTTGTTTACCCACTATTCTTCTGAGGTAGAAGAAGTTATACTGTGATATCTTTTGTACAGATAGCACTTTTCAAAGCTTCATTTTCACCTACAGAATGGCTCAATCAATGACAGAAGGCAATTTTAGGAAAAATTGTTCATATACCAAGCGGATGGATACCATCCGCTTAAAAATATTATCCACAACATATTTCTCAGCATTGTCTGGTATATAAAGTGGTAACAGAGTACTTTTTAAAGTTTCTTACCACTGAATTATATAACAACTCCTTCTAATCTCCCCAAAATTGGATTAAATCAGATTAAGCACGTGATAGTAACAAAATAATAATAAAATTAGTAATGGAGATGATGGAGGTGGGTAAAAGGGAAACTAAATTCTATATAGTTCCCGATATTCAGAAAGATTTCTAAAAAATACTTGGATTTCAATATACCACACTGAAGATTGAGGCCTTTGTTCATTGTTTTTCCGATGGAAAAGAAAAGAAACCTGAGGCTTTGCAAGATTTTTCAGTGAGATGCTTCTGACAAGTGATCAAATCATTGAACACTCTTCTTGAAAAATAATGTTCAGATGTAGTCTAAGTATACGCCCTGTGACAGCACGAACAACCTTTCCTCTGTATTGACATTCATTCTAATAATAGAAAAATGTAGACAGAATATCTGACACCCCCACCACACCAAACAAGACTGTGACTTCATGTCTGTGATATAAAATCTTATTAATGGAAATATTCTCATTGTTTAAAAATGGTTTTGAAACTGCCTTTTTACTTTTGATTACATGTTACCAAAACAATAGGAAATGTGGTAGATAGAAGCACAATGAAACTTAAGAAATAATAGTCTTATTCAAAGAGTTGTAAACGTTGCCTAGTAAAATGATGGCCCGCATCAGATCAGGAAATTGACATATTTTATTAGCAATATATACATAAATATCTTGTCAATGCTTCTATAAACAAAGACACTTTTTAAAGTCAATCTTTAATATGAAAATTTTCAAACACAAAAAAGTACAGAGTATATTATAAAGACTTTTCATGTACCCATCACCTACAGCCAACTTGATTTTATAGAGATACTACCCAATTAATCACTTGGTTAAGTAAACAGATTATTTTAAAGAAAATCTCAATTTCATATCATTTAGCAGCAAATTACTTCAGTATATATCTCTAAGAAATATAGAATATTTTTCTAAGACATACTTCATCTTATCAAACCTTTCAAACATTAGCAACAATTCCTTAGTATTATCAACTGAGTTAGTTTTCTAGGTTTCCCTAATCATCTATTTCTTAATTGTTTCTAAAAAGTTCATATAATACAATCAGTTGATGTGCCTCTACCTCTTTTTTATTCAGTAAATTAACCCTGCATTCTGCTTTCTATTCCTTATGACTCATTTTTAAAAGGAGCCGGGCCATTGTCATGAAAATAATTTTGTTTATTTCATAATGTCTAGTCATATGCCATGTGACTCTATTACTTACATTTCTTCTAAATTGATAGGTAGCTAAATATATGACTTCTGATTGATCTAATTCAGATTTGAGTTTTTGAGAGGAATGCCTATTTTCTCTAGTTGTAAGACTCAGAATCTTTGTAACTACGTATCAATGAAATACAATGTACTTTGGGACTAATTAAATCTCATTAAGTTTCAGTTCTACCATTTATTAGCTTTAGTGTCTGACCCTTAGAAAATTGTATACCCTATTTGTCACTCAGCTTCCACAAATTATGCTTCTTGTTTCTTCTCTCTCTTCAATGCACTGTGACCTTTAAAAAATAATTTTACTTTGTCAATATTGAAACTCATGCCTTCTCCTCAGTAACTTTTTTTGTAAGGATGGGAGGAACAATTCAGTTATAAAGCTATTGGCAGGCGATCTTTTATAAAATGTTTTGGTGTCTGATTATTAACCTACAGAGGTAAGGAGTATTGTCAAAACATGATTTTTTTCTTGAGTAGCTAAACATACACTAATAGATAGTGGTTACAAGGTGTTTTATTCATTTTCTTTTAATATTTTACAGAAAGAAGCTGTTGAAACAGTCCATCTTACAACCCTTCTCTGGTAAGACATGTGAGTGAACTAAATGCAGCTAACCTAGCAGCAGATGCAAGGAGGGTTTTCACAGAGTCTGATACTAGAGGAGTCAAAACTTTGGAGATCAAAGGTCTTTGGGGCTGAACAAAAAAAAAAGGCGAAGATTAATCTGTTTGAAATTACACAATAATTTATTTTAGAGGGGAAACTGTACATGCTTATTTTTTCTTTTGATGTTTGTGTGTCATTATTATACATTATTCATAGCTAATGTAAAGGGTATTAGTTATGACTATGACTTGGTTTTCTTTCTTTCTTTCTTTCTTTTTTTTTTTTTTTAGAAGGAGTCTCACTTTGTCGCCAGGTTGGAGTGCAATGGTGCAATCTCAGCTAACTGCAAGATCCACCTCCTGGGTTCAAGCGATTCCCCTGCCTCAGCCTCCCGAGTAGCTGGGACTACAGGCACGCACCACCACGCCCGTCTAATTTTTTGTATTTTAGTAGAGACAGAGTTACACCATGTTGGCCAGGATGGTCTTGATCTCCTGACCTCGTGATCCGCCAGCCTCGGCCTTCCAAAGTGCTGGGATTACAGGCGTGAGCCACTGGACCCAGCCATTATGACTTGTTTTAAGCAGGGTCTGAATCCTAAATTGTAATATTTTTAAAGTGCAAGAGGTTTTTTATATTTTCTTTATGTACATCTATCTTATGTTCTGGCTGTGTAACCCATTAACTCTACACATCAGAGTGGGAAGTGATATCCAAAACATTTCTAAAAGAGCACTGGTTAACCCTATTTCAGTGACTCAAATGTCATAAAACACGTATACCACATGATAAATGTTTACTGAGCCCAGAAAAAGCCAGATAGTACAGTTTAAGTCCTAAAAATCACATAATTTAAAAACTGCTGAAAGAATTGGGGACTTTAAACCAAAGACTAAAGCTCGGCTTGGACCAAATTTTTAATTCACAAAACAAGCTGTCTTCATAGTTTTAAAAAGGAGGATTGTGAATTATCAAGTACAGTTACATCTATGTTACATAAAAGTGAGAGATTCTTACAAATAGAGTTAAAGAGCAGACTTATTCTACTTAATATGTGAAATAATTTCTCAATCATTTGAGTTGATTCAAAACAAAATCAATTCTTTCTAGGTGTCACTTAACTAACTGTAGCTCATTTTCACACATATGGCACTATTTTTTTTTTTTTTTTTTTTTTTTGAGGCGGAGTCCTGCTTTGTCGCCCAAGCTGGAGTGCAGTGGCGCGATCTCGGCTCACTGCAAGCTCCGCCTCCCGGGTTCACGCCATTCTCCTGCCTCAGCCTCCCAAGTAGCTGGGACTACAGGCGCCCGCTACCACGCCCGACTAATTTTTTTTGTATTTTTAGTAGAGACGGGGTTTCACCGTGTTCGCCAGGATGGTCTCGAGACCCTGACTTAGTGATCCGACCGCCTCGGCCT
The DNA here is from genome assembly GCF_000001405.40 of Homo sapiens. NCBI lineage: Eukaryota > Metazoa > Chordata > Mammalia > Primates > Hominidae > Homo > Homo sapiens. The sequence goes on from NC_000013.11 coordinate 70,762,088, forward strand.
CCCAAAGTGCTGGGATTACAGGCGTGGGCCACCGCGCCCGGCCCACATATGGCACTATTGTACAGCTGAGTGATGGCTCAAATAATGAAATTGTTGATTGTTTTTAATTGTATTTTTGTGTCCCCTCAACATTTATATACTGAAACCCCATATCCCCAGTGTGATGGCATTAGTAGGTGGTTCTTTGACAGATAATTAGACAATGTTCTTGGGGCCCTCATGAATGGGATTTGAGCTCATATAAGAAAAACAAAAGAAGAAGAGGAAGAAGAAGAAGGAGGAGGAGGAGGAGAAGGAGGAGGAGAAGGAGGAGGAGGGAAGAAGAAGGAAGAAGAGGGAAGAAGTACTAGAGCTTGCTTACTTTTTCTCTTCTCTCCGCCATGTGCAGATGCAACTAGAAGACAGCTGTTCGCAAACCAGGAATAGGGCCCTCATCAGACGCTGGATCTGCGGGTACATTACAATTGGACTTCTCAGCTTGGAAAGGTATGCCTACAAGGTTTTTGACAAAAAAAAATAGTCCAACTGGAAAGAATTTTTTTTGTATAGTTTAATATTGGAATGGAATCAGAGTGGATAATTCAGTGAAATACATATAAATACATGGTGGAAATTCACTATTTTTACTTCTATTTTGATTTTAAAAGTTACAATCAGTACCCATTCTAGCTCTGTTCAATGGTGAAATCTACTGGCATATTATTAAAGCTGTCAGAGGAAAAGGAATGTTGGCAAGCCATCAGTTGGCAAATGTGAACAGGGGTCTTGGCTCTTATCTTAAGGACAGACATTATCAATTTGGATAAATGATTTTGTACACCAAGAGGTATGTTTTACTTATTTATTTGCTTGTTCATGGTACAGCTGTAAGTCAAATGCTTTATTATTTGTTAAAACATCTAAAACTAACTTCATTTTTGTTCTAGTATAGATTAGAATGATCTAGAGTTTTCCATAATACATACCTAAAAACTCAATATCTAAGGCACATGATCAATTACAGCTTTAAAATCAAGCAACAACAAGCTAACAAAGCACATAAAACACAATACTTCATATTTATCAAAATTTGTATGTCCTTTCTGAGAATTACCTGACTCAATCTGTAGAGAAGTAAGAAGTAGGCGGGATTCCTTCACACTGTCTTCCCCCAAGTTCAGGCACCTAATTTCGACAATGTAACATTTTGCAGATTGAAGAACAAGAATTCTAGCCCTATTATGTAAAGGGAAGTTTAAGACTCAGAAAAGAAAAATGAAAAGACTCAGAAAAGAAAAAAACTTCATGAGAATTTTCTGAGCTATGCCTATGAGGTATGCCTGAGTCCTATGCTCTGATGTCTAATTTGTTTCCCCATAATAAATGTAGAAATGTAGAAAATTCCAATGAAGTGAAAAAAATTTAAAGAATTGAATGTGAAGGTGAGGGAAGACATGGGTTTAGATACAAAAGAATAGTGAGTTTCAAGATTATAAATTAAAATTTTGTTTTGCAGAATTTAAAAACAAATTATAATTTTATGCTAATAAGGGTGAAGTAATTAACATTACTTGAAATGCTAACCACACAAAATACACCATGTATTATAACTAATTTAATACTCACAAACTTGGGGTGCAAAAATGTATAATTCATCACATTTTTTCATTGGGAAAATAGGTGCAGGGCTGATAAGCAACATATTGCCAAAGTACCTATAGAGGCATATGTGAAAGCTAGATTTTCAAACCTTTCCTATAAATATTTCTACTGAACCTGATTATAGAAGATGAGGTAGGAAGGAGTATGCATTTCTGTCCCACTATCCTATATCATAAAGACCTAACCTAAGTCAGTCATTTATGAAAATCATTCCTGGCAAAAATCAAACATACGTATATGATTATAATAATGTAATCCTCTATCAGAGTAAGAAATATATTTCATACAATTTTATCTGCATGTGTAGTAATGTGTTAATACCAGGAAAATATGACTTTGAAGACATTGAAAGCTGACTCTCTCTCTCCCCCTCTCTGTCTCTCTCTCACTATATCTATGTGTGTGTATATATATATAGAGAGAGAGAGACAGAGATCTTTAACCATTATGCCTTAGCTTAGTTCAGTACAGAAATAACTTGTGTTTTCAAAAGGCCAATTAAACACTTACTTCTTTTTGAGAATCTATGAAATAGTTTTAAGTAGCAAAGTCAACAACAGTTAACATAATTAAAATGGCATTTTTAGTAAGAATTTTATTCCAACTTGTATTAATGTTTATTTAAAAATATTCTTGCCTTGTGAACCCATCTGTTTCCTGCCTATTATGCTACCTAAATTCTGTAATCATAGTACTCAAGGGAGATTTTCACATAATTTTTTTCATGATATAGAAAGCATTCTACATTTCATTCAAAAGAAATAATTTGATTCAAACTCCAAAGTAGCTGGGAAGAAACTGTTGATAAAATTAAAAACTGAGACGTCTTCCTGAGTTAAGTTTTTTCTTATTGTAAGTGACTGTATTATAAATTTCCTTCTCTTGACAGAAAAAAAAAAAGAAAGATCTCCAGTCAGTCAATGAGTCACAGTTTTGAACTTTAAAAATTCTCACTAAAACAGCAGCAATATTCTTTTGAATATATGACTTTCAAATCACCTTTTGAGCATATTGAAATCAATTAAACAATAAGTATATTCTCATTTACAAAAGAAATCAATCAGCTGTCATTTTTGATTGATTATTCTTAGTTGGAGTGGTATTTAATTTATGAATTTATTACACATTTTTCAACTACTATAAAATGGCATATGAATTAGGAGTGATGTCTCATAGTAAATGGACAAAAATTTTAGTCATCTCTCAATACATTTTGTGAAGTCTTTCTTGAACCATAGGATCAGCTGTTATTGAATAAGGTAGGTTATTTTTATTAAGCATGAAATGATATTGCCTTACTATACTGTCAAGGACAAGCACATTCGCAAAAATTGAACCTAAAATATGTGCCCAGGGCAAATTAAGCTAACTATATTTTGTGTATGCATATGATATTCAAAAACACCATATGTAATACCTTTCACTGCGAAAATATGCTTTATAGGACCTAAGTAATCTTTGTGAATAAGCTTACCTAATGTACACCCCAGTAACCCTCCACAGGTCACTGACCACTGTCATTGTCTAAATATAAATCAGAAGAATGCTTTCTATATCCACATTTTGAGATTATCGAATTGGAACCATTGATAACAAAAGTAGTATGGTAGGTATAGTCTTCCCAGAGTGAATAAGAATTTTATCACTGGCATTGTTTATAATTACTACAGTTGTCACTGAACCAAACTAGGCCTGGTTGCCTGCACACAATGGAAATCCATCAACACTGAAGCACTGGGTTTTGCAGTAAGAAAGGTTTACTGCAAGTGGACTGGCAAAGGGACAGGAGAAAACGCTCCAATCTGTCTCCCAGAGCTAGGGGCTGGGTGAGGTTTTGCAAGCATAGGGCAATGAGGCATGGTCTGATTGTTCCTTGGTCTTGATCCAAGCCAGGGCTCGATCTGATTGGATCCTGGATCCTGCCATGGGTTGTCTGCTTCTTAATTCAGTCCCCACTCTTCCATCAGAGCACTTAGGTTCTGCCTGTGGTTGCAGGCTTGGTCCATCTGGGCATGCTCAGTTTATGTGACCTTCAACCTGCAGGATCCATGACAACTGAAAACCACCTCACAACTTTGTGACATAAAAGTTGAACCAGGTTGGTTTGACATTTAGTCAGTACTATTATTATTTTTAAATTATCTACTAAGAATCCATTTTCTTATCACCTGTACCATATCAGACTGCTTCCTCTTTCCTCCACCCTTAATACACCACTGCTTGCTATCAGTATTTTTTATTAGTTTCTGAAAAGTAAAATCCTGTCTTCTTCGAAGTGTGGAAACCACATATTTTATTTAAAAATGAAGCTAAGTAGGAAATTCATTTTGTTCTTTGGCAACTTCCTACACCACCACTTTTATTTTTTTACCTCTTGCTTAAAGATTTTTTTTTTCAAAGACGATGCTTCTTCTAGGACACATTTAGCATTGCAGCTTTGTCTCTGGGAAGAATCTAGAAAAGCAAAGGTAAAATCTGCATGGTTGCTAGAGATTGGGGATGGAAAAAAAGAAAATGAACTTAACTGTATCAATGACTGTTTCTTCATGGTGAGGAAGTAATTTTTTATTAAATGTATCTTATTTCATTTACAAAGAGCATGGGCTGTTGAAACTGTTATGGAAGTGGCACATGGTCATGGTACCTATTTTTGTGATCATGAAAAGAGCAGGAAATTGTTTGAGTTGCATTAACCTACAATTAGAGTTATGACAAAATAAGCAAAAAAAAAAAAAAAAAAAAACAGTCTAAAATGGGAGGGGAGCATTCATTTAGACTCCATTGTGTGCCGAAGTTTATGGCAGGCATGTAAGCATATAACATGTGTTATTTTACATAACATTTTCAACAATCCCGCAAAGTATTTATCCTTATCTTCATTTTAGAGGTAGGTAAACTGGAGATCAAAAAGTTTTAATAACTTGCCAAAATTCCCAGAGCTAGTAAGTAGCATAAAGAATTTGTAGCAAGATTAGCCTAACAGTTTGTTCTCATCTCATTGTACCCAAAATGCAAAAATTTAAAAGAAAATGTATATGACAGTTGAGTCTCAGCTCATAAAAAGATCCTTATGGGAAAACTAAGGCAATAATAAAAAATAGTAATTCTTATTGTATGGTCATTATATTTTAGTTTGCAGTGGAAGAATTCCTATCTCTGATTAAGGAAGGTAGGAAAAATTGGTAACTGAAGAATTATTTCACAAGCTCACTTCTATTAACTGCTGTCACTAAAGAACCAAACAATTCATCCAACCAAAGTCCTCAACGTGTGTGTGTGTGTGTGTGTGTGTGTGTGTGATTGTGAAAGTGTGAAACTATTATATTGAACATTTGGATAGAAAATCTTCCAAAAATGTGTATAGATTCTATAATCTTTAAAATATATTTTGTGCAGTATATTTTTAAGGTATATTAAAAACACAGGCCTGGCGTGGTGCCTCATGCCTGTAATCTCAGCACTTTGGGAGGCCAAGGCGGGCAGATCACTTGAGGTCAGGAGTTCGAGACCAGCCTGGCCAACATGGTGAAACCCTGTCTCTACTTAAAAATACAAAAATTATCTGGGTGTGGTGGTGCATGCCTGTAATCCCAGCTACTTGGGAAGCTGAAGCAGAAGAATCATTTGCACCCGGGTGATGAAGATTGCAGGGCGCTAAGGTCGCGTCACTGCACTCCAGCCTGGGTGACAGAGTAAGACTCTGTCTCAAAAAAAAAAAGTCAGAATGAAGACCACTTACTGTTTGTTACAAAGGAACGAAACCATAGGAATCTGCATAATTTATTACATGTTTCACACTTTGTGATTACACATTTGATATACCTGTTACTCTTACATCTTATACTTTTTAAAGAGAGCATTCAGGATCCAGTGAAAAATAATTTCTGCTATTCACAATAACAAAGACATAGAATTAACTCAAAGGCCCATCAGTGATAGACTGGGCAAATAAAATGTAGACACCATGGAATACCATGCAGCCATAAAAATGAACAAGATCATGTCCTTTGCAGGGACCTGGATGGAGCCAGAAGCCATTATCCTCGGCACACTAACACAGGAACAGAAAACTAAACGCTGCATGTTCTCACTTATAAGTGGGAGCTGAACAGTGGGATCTCATGGACACGGGAAGGGGAACAACACACACTGGGGCTTAGCGGGGGGCAGGGGAAGGGAGATCATCAGGATAGATAGCTAATACATGTGGGGCTTAAAACCTGGGTGATGGGTTGATAGGTGCAGCAAACCATCATGGCACAAGTTTACCTATGTAACAAACCTGCACATCCTGCACATATATCCTGAAACTTAAAAGAAATAAAATAAAATAAAATAAATAAAATAAAATCCAAAAAAAAAGAAAAGCAATGTCTGGTACAAACATAAGCTTAAACAATGTTTGCAGAGTAAATGAAACAGCATCAAAAGATAAAAATATATAGCCATGTTTAGAGTACTAATCCAAAGATCTCAGTCTTTAATAATATTTCCACCAGAAAATTTTAGTATTCAAATATATTTGGCAACATAAATTCATTAAAATTTGGTTATCCAATGTTTTCTTTGTTGACTGTTACAACAAAAATATACCTCTCTGAAATTTTAAATTGTAACAGAATGAAGGAAACCACTGGATGATGTTATATCAAAATACCCTAAATTGTGTTAATAAAATCGTATACTTACTTAAGATATACTAAGTAAGAGGATAACCACCTCTCAATTTCAATGAGAGAAAAGCAATATGTTTACCTAGTCTACTCTGGAAGAAGTTGTTTTGTAATCCCTTCCAAGAAATGCTTCTCCCAAGAAATAGACATGTTTTCGAAGACATAAAAAACAAGCAATACGCATAGAACACAAGGTAAATTTAAGAACATGTTGCTCTAAATTCATTGTGAAAATGTATGTTATTTAGTGCTAATCCATTCCTTTGGTTGGGAGGGTGTCAGTTTTGACTTAAACCTTCAAAAGGCTGTTGAAAAATTGCTGACCACTTCAGTCTTCAAGGCACTCTACAAATTCTACCCCATTTATAATGTAAAAAATGTATTCAGCTAAAGTCTAAATTACAAAATAAGATGATTAGGCCCTGTTAAATTATATTGTTAATAATCAGAGCTTAGAAAAATAACACAGCAATCCTTAAACACATTTTGATTCAATTGTTTCTGCTTGCATGAAAAAACATTTGATAACAATGAAATAGAAAACTTAGTTTTCTATAAAGTTTTCAAACTGTAATAAAATGCTGTACTGTAAATCCAAAATGACCTGCAAAACTCAGGGGGAAAGTGAATATGATCTCTTTCCAGTTATTCTAGCAGAGACAATATAATTTTTGAACTTCCTGACAGCTCTATTGCTTTCTCTACCATGAGCTGGCAATGCGTTACTGGTGCCTTCATCAAGAACTGTTCTTTCACCTAACACTGCAAAGTCAAAATTTCACCTATCATGTGTGTATGACACTGTAGCTTGAAACAGACAGAACAAATTGAATTATGCTGAAAATACACAGGAATTATAGATTAATAGTAGCAAATTAGTATTCTCTTCATGTCTTTCCATGTTTTAAACAGTGCTATTTTAAAAATTCAGATGAAAATGTTTTCATTTGTAGAGAAATGTTATTTGTGATGAATATGTAAAGATATTTAAAAATTTTTATTTAGATTTCATAGAAGTAGACTGAGCTTGCTGATTGTGTTTAATACTTTAAAAATTAGTAAATACTGATTGCTTGAGTAAGAGGTAGTGTATGGGCAGGACACTGATTTTTATTCATCTTTAGTGTTTTCACAATTTAAAACATATGGTTGAAAATAACAGGAAATTATCTTTTTCCATCACAAATTAAGAAAAAATGACATTTTTACAGCTTTAAAATAACACTCAGAAGATTCTAGCAAAAATAGTTTGACTATAAATACAAACATTATGCTATTATTAGATGTTATACTGATAGCCTTCCCAGGCTTGAATGTAATATTGTGCTTCAGGACAATGTATACAAAAATAAATGGAAAAAGTTTTATCCACATTTATGTCAAGTGTTTTGTTTGGAGAGTGTACTATACAGAACAATTAACTTAAAAGGATCAAGTCCATGTGGAAAGGAAGACTATCAGAGGAGAATGCAAGGAAGGAAATGTTTTGCAGATGTACTGCATTTAAATTAATAAAATCTCATTAGGTTTTATGTTTGCCAATAACGGCTGGAAAAGTTACCATACATTGTAGGAACAATTACCCAAATCTTCACTGTCTCATTAGGTTTGTCATACTGTTTTCATTATAATACATTAGAACTTGCAAGTGAGCCTTCAGTAATGACATATTGTTCCAATTCTCCTTTCAGCAGGCTCTAAGATATTTTAGTATTTGTGCTATAAGCCAGCAGGTGTCTTCACTTTGCTTTTTCTGAATCAGTTTTATACACAGACCTCCAGACACAGAATGGAATGTAAAAGGGCTTTCAACAACCACATAAAACTGAGTCTGATTAGAGTAAAGCAATACACACTATTTTTATGATTTTATGGTAATTCAACGCACGAAAAATGTGCACCTTTAGAGTATATGTCTGTGCTAGTAAGACCTGTTAGTGAGAGCTGTATTAATGTAGATAAACCATGCAGTATATAAAGTTTAAAGATTTGCATAACAAATGGAAGACATAGAGCTGATTTGAATATCTAAAGCATTATAAACTTCAATAAGAACAACCAACACTGTTTGAGCTTTCAAGGCACTTGCATTCAAATGAGAAAGATTTAAAAAGGATACGATTTTTAAAATGCTTTGAAGCTTCCTATTAAAGGTCTTAGGCAGCTCAAGGTTAAAATAAATATTGGATTTAAGGTGGGTGAGAAAAGACTTAGAAGCAATTTAAAGTAGAAATCACTTAGCAGTGGAATAGAATGAATGTTTATAGTTAGTGTAATTGTCACCTGACCTTCAAAAAACAAAGAGCCACTCTACACCATCCACAAGAATGAAAAAAGTTAGCCAAAAAAGACATCCAAATTTCTACCCTAATCATTTCTTAAAATTAGAGTAAATTATGACTCAAAAATGTTTTTCCTAGAAAAATAAATGTCCCCCCCAACAAGTGTAGCTCAATCTAAATGCTTGAAACAATAAAGATCAAAGTACCTGCTAATGCACTAAGCTATCATTATAGTGAAATAGCGTTCTATGATGTGTCCTTTTCTGAAGCAGGTGAGAACTCACAGATATCTTCTCCTATCATTGTGCCAAATAAGGGAACAAAAGCTGTCGCTAAATGGGTTACAGTACTCTTAATAGTTACGATACACGAATTGGTGAGTGTTGGGCAATTTTTTAATTTTATGATTGAAGGATAATAAGTAAAGACTAAAAGAACAATCTCTTAGAAGGACTTTTAAAATGATCAAATACTTTTTGACATTAGAATATAGAAATATTATTTTGTGGGATATAAATGTACCAATATATTTATAAGCACTTATATAATGCATCATGCATATTTTACAGAATTACTATCATAAAATATATAAAAATACATATTATACAGAAAGAAACAAAGTACAGGCCTTCCCTCAAGCAAAAAATAATGGTTTACCAAACCTTCTGATTACAAATTACTTTACTTACAGTTCTTTAGAAAGAAAGGAAATAGCCATTCACCCACAGGCTCCTCTCCCACAGCAAGTCACTGGTGACATTTCCTGTATGCCATGTGTGGACTGTTGGGAGAAGGTGGCTTAATTTACTTTGCTTGAATTCTGCTGTGCCAGGGCATCATTTTAGCAATTATCTAACAAGCTTCTGAAATCTATAGAAAAGCATCTGCAGCACACTTTTCATTGCTAAGTTGGATATACTAATGAAACACTTTTATAACCACTATCTATTATGTAAAGAAAATGTTTTCTTCCAAGTATTTGTACTCAATGTATATGATTATTATATATAATATTTGCAAATTATTTTTTCCAATAAGCATGGTTGTTTTCAAAAGGACCCTTACAAGGGTCCTTTTTGATAAATTCAAAATCAAGCAAGATTTGAACATAGCTTGGAAAATTATATATATATATATATACACACACACACTCAGTATATATATACTTTTATATATTTGTGTGTGTTTTTGTGTTTTATATATACACACACAGATATAAAAGTATATATATGGTGTGTGTGTGTGTGTGTGTATGTGTGTGTGTATATATATGTATATATATACATATATAGCTGAAAATAACAGAACTGATTAGAAGACATCTGTAAAGTCCTTTGCCTTAGATAACTTAATTGTATTAAGTTACAAAGAATAAGAAAATTTAGTCCTCAAACAGAGTCCTGCTAACCTTTTAACCTGTCACTTCTTGTACGTGTCCCATTCATATCTCACATATTTCTTGAGGGAATTGAACACCTATTTATTGATTGCTTAATCTGAAAGTATGGATACAAAACATGGATGATCTAAATTTCTGATGCTTTATCAGTGTCCTTTACCTATATTAAGCATTTTATTAGAGCATACTTAGGAAGAAGAAACTATCATTATCATCATCATTCCTACATACAGATGAGAAAACAAAGACACAACGAGGCTAACCAAGGTCAGATAATAAGTGGCTTAAAAGGAATGTGAAACCAGAGGGCCTAGATCTGTAGACTTAGAGATGTGAAGACTACATTCTCAACCATTAGTTGTACATACAATCTTCTCAAGAATTCGTTTGTAGTCAATACGAACATTTTTACAGGAGGTGTTTTGAACCCAATTTCCAAACACTCTCTGTCTTTGTTTCTGTCTCTTTCTCCCTCACACTCTCTTTCTGTCTCTTTCACTCTCTCTCATTCTCTTTCATATATATAGAGATATCTATGATATACTTCTAGGTCTATCATTTATGTGTGTACGTTCATGAAAATTATTGAGGTACATTTAGCAACAGGTTTTTGCCCTGTTTGTCACACAGAAAGAACAATATGTCTATGAAACATTATCTGTCTTTAAAGACATCGTTCTTTTTGTCTATACATATACATGACAGGAAGAGTTCATGAAGAGATTAATTTTTGAAGACTTGCGTTCATTATCATGACAGGAATATGTCATAAATGCCTCAGAGTTCTTATGGACTCCTCTCTTGAGTTATCCTCTCTAAATATCTACGTTATTTCAGATAGTCCATGAGAAAACAAGGTAGTCGAGTTAGATCACTGCTTTTCAGTTCAGTTGTGGAGACATAGCCACGAAGATTTGTATATAGTAATGAATTTTTCCCTACTGCTTTTTTTTCCTGACTAGTATCAGTTTCTAAATAATAGTATTATAGAAATAAAATATGTATGCACATGTACATTCATTGCAGCCCTATCTGCAATAGCAAATACATGGAATCAACCTAAATGGCCATCAATGATAGACTGGATAAATAAAATATGTTATATATACACTATGGAATACTATGCAGCCATAAAAAGAATAAGGTTATGACCTTTGCAGGGACATGAATGGAGCTGGAGGCCATTATCCTTAGCAAACTAACACAGGAGGAGAAAACCAAATAATGTCTGTCCTCACTTATAAATGGGAGCTAAATGATGAGAACACATGGACACTTAGAGGAAAACAACACACACTGGAGATTATTGGAGGGTGGAGGGTGGGAGGATGGAGAGGATCAGGAAAATTGACCAGGGGATACTAGCATAATATGTCAATAATGAGATAAACTGTACAACATATCCCCATGACACAAGTTTACCTATGTAACAAACCAGCACATGTACCCCTGAACTTAAAAGTTAAAATAGGCCGGGTGTGTTGGCTTATGCCTATAATCCCAGCACTTCGCAAGGCCAAGGTGGGCAGATCGCTTGAGGCCAAGAGTTTGAGACCAGCCTGGCCAGTATGGTGAAACCCCGTCTCTACTAAAAATGCAAAAATTAGCCGGGTCTGGTGGCGCCTGCCTGTAATTCCAGCTACTTGGGAGGCTGAGGTGGGAGAATCGCTTGAACCCGGGAGGTGGAAGCTGCAGTGAGCCAAGTTTGTGGCTCATGAAGGAGAGAGGCCCTGTCTCAAAAAATAAATAAATAAACTAATTAATTAATTGATTTAAAAAGTTAAAAGAAATATAAGGTAATTGAAAGGAATGACGTGATATGTTCATCAAGAAAAAGTAGTTAGTGGGTACCCCTGATCCTATAGCAGCTTCAAAAAATTTTTCCAAGAAACATCTTGGCTTTAGGTACCTGTAAAAATAATGACATATAATTAGGATTACACTGGTACCATGATAAATCTTACTATGTCTTCCTTTAAGGCTGGAGAAATGGCACAAATATGGATATACTATTCCGTATTTTCCTTAATGTTTTTTAGTTTTAGGCACACACACACACACACACACACACACACACACACGCATGCATGCTTTATATTTTAAATTTTCACTTAGTGCTTTGTAAGGCATACATATAAAAAATAATACATTTTGGTTAAACAACATTTTAAGAAGTAAGTCCTTATTTTTCACTACATTATGAGACAAAAATTCCTAGAAATATACCAGGATATCTAATCTCATTATTATTCTTAATAAACTTTATAACCTTGACCAAATTGCATTAACTTCTCTTGGCCTCATTTTCAGTTTTAATTTTGGGCTTAACATTTTTAATTCCAATAATTTTGCACTCTAATCTTCAAAATTTTTTTTATAAATCTTTTCCATTCGCAGGTTGTTCAATGCACTTTTTGTGTAAGTTCGATTAGCCAATATTCTGGATTAGTGAGATACATTTTACAAGCAAATCTCAAATGACCACATAATCTAAGAATTGTAAGATATTTTAAAATGGATATTTTTGTTAACATTTCTCTGTTTTGCTCTTAAGATATTAAATATGCCTACTACTCTTATTTTATCCAGGTATGAACTGTGTCCTACTAGACCTTGTATTTATATGGACTTTGAAAATGACTTACATAACTGAGCTGGTAGTTAGATATACTTCCAGATAAAGACATACTCCATTTTAGCTCATTTCTTAAAAAAAAAACAAAAAAAACAAATTTGTCTTGATTTTATTTTTATTTTAAAATCAGCAGGCAAACTAAAATGTTGGTTCAAGCCAGTACTCAGCAAGTCTATATAGATTTTAATTAATTTAACTAATTAATTGATTATTTTTAAGTGGTAAGAAGACAATGGAGGTAAGAAAATAGAATCAAACTGCTTGCCACTTTATTTTGAAAACAACTTATTTTCCTTGTAGTTTGGTTCTTAGTATTTACTAGAGAATGTCTTTTCTCATTTGCCTTTATAATGTCTTTTTGTTGGCTTGTCGGCATCTCATTACATTATTTAGTTTTATATTGCATTTGTAGTATAACAAATTACTCCCTAATGTAAAATGACCAACACTTAGAAACAAACATAAAATTGAAAGTAACAAAATTGTTATTAGAGGGAAATCATCCATAATAAGGAAAATAGTAGACTAAATTGTTTTCAGTTTATTTATGAATATATGCTCATTATAAAAATTATTTAACTTAAAAAAACTTAATTTTACATCTGTCAAGTTCTATGACATCTGTGTTTATCTACTTTTCTGGATTACAGCCGATCTCTTAAAGGAAAAACTAGTTATCTCCAGGGATTTCAACTACTTTATTTTAATTAGGTCTTTTTTAAATGGACTTTTCCTTGGAATTAGCAAATATGAATGGTTTTAAAATGTAAGATACAAATTCTGTCATCTCTCAAATACTCACAGGAATAGAGGAAAGAAGATGTATAGATATTCCAGTAGAAAAGAAGATTCAAAAATAATTACATTTGACTTTGGGATAGACTGTGTTGTATTGTTCCCAGGCAGAAAGTCCTTCTTAATTTTTTTTCAGCTACGTGTAAAATTGGTTTGCATTTATTAAATATATACTAAGGGGGGTAAGAACTTATTCTATGTATGGTAAAATATATAAGTAGTGTATATTATGGCTAGAATTCCACATATACATTCCTCCAGACAGGTAACCATTAATGAAAGGAATAATAAAAAAAGTAGCCATATTTAATCAAGAAGTCATTGTTTTTAGGTCTTAAAATGTTATTTCCTTTATAGGGCTATAAAAAATAAAATGCTGAATTCTTTCAAGAACACTTTTATTCATTAAGCTAAATGATTTTGGTTTCTCATAAAATAATTGTAAACTACTTTAAAAAATTATGGATCTTAGCGCTTAATGAATGTCTTCATTATTTGTTGTCTGTCACATTCTATGGCAAAACTTACTAAAAACTGTGATACAGTGAAAAAGCAAATCTGAACAAAAGCAATCTTGTTTTATTATGTTCAAAAGAACACTTTTAATACAACTTTTTAAGGAATCAGTTACAACAAATGCAATTTTCTTCAGGGCTATTGTTCAGAATGATGAACCACATATATACACATCTGGCCACCTGAAAAAAGAATCCAGGAAAATTTGAAGATACTCCCACAGAAACAACATTTGATGAATAGAGCCTTTTATCATCTTCTCTATACCCCTACCAAAATGAAAGGGCAAAACATCTCTGAAAATTTGTAGAGCAGTCACATATTCATTGCAAACCACCACCAGAGATGCTTAACAGGACACTATATCCTACCAACTTGTGATTGCAAACAAGTCAAAGGCTTATATTATGAACAATATCACCAGAAAACAGTAAACTTCATGATATAAATGTCAGCTTGACATGATGTATTAGTGTGCCACCCCCAAATATTATTCTTTAGATGTTGTGGCAGAGAATGTTCACTTCAGCCAAATATATAGGGACTTGTGACCTTTTGAATTTAACATACCACAGGGGACACTACCCAGTAACTATGAAAAAAATTAACAAATTCTAGATTAGAAGCTCCAATACTAAAAAGGCATTAAATAAATGAAATTGCCCAGGGTTTTGGTGAGTTACAAGCTTTGGAGGCTCTGTATGAAAACTGTAACATAACTCATTATGGCTTCGGGCACTAATAAGTTATGAGGCACTCACATGTATGAGATAAACCCCATAACTTACTGAAGTCTATATCATCCCTTCATTATATCTAGGGACATGTGAAATAGCTGAAATTCAGCTCGAAACCCCAAAGTTCAGTAATAAAAGTGAATAGATCAGCACATCTATTGATTTTGCTGTCTTTTTTGTGCTTTTAGTTATCCTACTCCCTTTCACATCTGAAATATTCCAGCATTTTTCTTCTGAGCTCTTTCCATGTTGGCATTTTAGGTATGCTGGCAAACATCAAAATAAACTAGGTTTCTTCTTTGCTCTCCTCTCAAGAGTAATTATATTAGTCAGTCAAAAGTCTTAGGCACTTTATTCTTCTAATAAATAAATTGTATTACATTATTTCAAAGGCAGAGCTGTAGAGACAAATTCAAAATCCATACTCACATCATAATGTATGATGAAAAACAAAGAGAAATATGAGAAAACAATGTGGTGTATTTTAATATTGGTATAAAAGGCTGTGTTTATTTGATTAATGGGGAACTTAAGAAATGGAATAATAGAAATCAATCGTTTAAGAATTCATCCTACATTGCTCATTTCTGAAGTAGGTACGTCTTCATGTATCTAGGCCTTAAAAATCATCAAAATGTTCACAGAAAGACTTTAATTTTTTTATTTTTAAAGCTTAATGTGAATTTGCAAGAACTGGGAAAAGTAACATAGGTAATATTACTGTTACATTAATCTAACAAAAATAACATAGTCTAAGAAAGATAAAGATAGCATAGGTGATACTCAAATTTTTAAATAATAAAAAGATCCCAAGAATGTGATTCAAGAAGAGATAATGCAAATTATAGGAGCTTATAGATTTCATCATTTAGTGTTATCTCCAAAGAAAAGCTGAATGGAAATATTTGCCATTCTCAACAAATTTTTGCACAGTACTTGGCAATGTCAGGAGTTATGCAGCAAACAGATATTTAGTGGAATATCAAGATCAAGAGGAGTCTAGGCACAGATGTTTTCACTAGCTAACCGGGATGAAAGAGTGGTTTAAGCAGTGGCTGCTTGGAGTCAGAAACATAGGAGGGCTTAAAGACTGTGAACCCAAGGCATTAACCAGGGAGTCCAACATATTGTGGTTAAAAATAAGCCAACGATTTTGGGACCAAAACAGTGAAGCAGATTTCGATTGACACCTGTGTGAAATACACATTTATGGAAGCACAGTCATGAGGAAAGGCTAAAGTTGAAGATCTCTATCTATCTTCTGTCTCTGTCTCTATCTCTATCTCTCTCTATATATATTTGTGTATATATTTAGATATATAAATACTATGTGTATATATATAAATATACTATGTGTATATATTTATATATTATACAGTATATGTATGTATGTGTATACAAATATATAATCCATATACATATATGTACATATTATATGTTTAAATTGTGTGTACATATATATACATATATATTATATACAGTGATTTATTGCATATTTAACATATATTCTGGGATTTTACATTTTCAGGATAAGACCCCAAATCTGACTAAGCTTATGCTCTTAGCCCCTGCTGTACTCACTCCAAAATTTTGATCTACAAACTGTTAAGTGCTTAAATGCTTTACATATGTCATCTTGTTTACCCCTCACAATAATATCCTGAGATATATAATATTTCCACCACTTTACATATGAAAATAACTTGCTAGAGGTCACATATTTTAAATGACCGAGTTTGGAGCTTACATCTTCACATGCATTTTTTTTCTGTTTTTATTTGTAACATTTTAAAATTTATTTTACAGTGGCATTTCTTCTTACTTAAAATTTCCACTTGGGGAGATTTAAAAGCCGTGTTATTTGGCAACTGGCAAAATTATCTGTCAATATATGAATCACATTCTCAAGGGATAATTTAAAAAATAATAATATATTGATTGGGAAAAAAATAAAATTAAACTAATGATAAAACAGAAGCAGAGAAGTTAGTATGTTGCTTCTTGTTTATTGTATTATCCATTGAATTTTGGAAAACTTAAGTTGTGAGTATCAAACCTGAATCTTAGAAGAAAATAATTAGAAAAGGTTAGGGAGATGATATAAAAGAGAAGACTCATATATAGCAATTTACCCATTGTTCTGTACTATTTAAGAAAAAGTAATTTTGTTAAAGTACTGGTCGTGGTCCTTCTTTATACTAATCAACTGGAGGGGACAAATCTTTCCAGTGTTCAGAACAATGTAGAAAAATAAAATATCTGAAAACATCACTCTTCATAAAACATTCCGTATGTCAGTTACACAGTGTAGTTCTGAGATTGTCTCACACTTGTTTTTCTGCCACAAAAATACATTATGTTTAATCTTTGTTTTCTTTTTTGTTTGAACTCAGATATTGTGATCACCCAGTTATTTTCTTTTCACTTAAATTAGAAGCATAGATGCAGGGGCTTCCATGACAGTTAAATGGATGAGTTACAATATCAGTTAGAAAAATATCTGGACATTATGATAAATGATTTTATAATTCCTCAGTTAAAGGAAATAATTTACTCTCTGAACAATATCTTTATTACCTTAGGGCATTTAAATTTAGGTGGGAACTAAGGTAAATTTCCTTACTTTCCATGGAAAAGTAAGCCCACTGGTAGTTGTAAATTTCTATATAAATGTTAAACAATAAGAGTCGGCTAAATGGCTAGCAAGTGTTGGAACTTTATAATGCAATGAATTTGGCATATGAAAAAAAATTCTACACCCCTTGGAAGTGTGTTTTATGCTTGTTATAGCTGCATAAAATACAGATTGAAAATAAACTGAACATTTTAACTTTGGCAACAGGGGAGAACGTATCCATTCCTATTTTTCAAGGAAAATAATACCATGCATTATTGACTCATGCATGGAATAAAATATATAATAGTTTGAAGCAGGGCTCTTACAAAGAAGCTATCCTTTGTTCCATACAGGGACTCAAGGAATAAACATAAAGGAAATATTCTTTATTTATCCAGCTCATTCTTTTTCTCCTAACACTACTTTTATGTATCAGGAGATCCTTGCAATATATTTGCTATTGTTTTAAACAGTTCATCACCTTCAGAATGATGATGACTACCACATCTTTAGGCATGCTGGTGCTCATAGGATATCTTGGGTCATATACTCACAGAGAGGCAAACAAATCTGAAAGCCTTCCACTTATAGGGAACATTCCTCTGATCAGAGCATCGGATGGAATTCTATTTTGAAAATCTGGAATTCTTTAACTTCCTTATGTATCAGTTAAAACTTACAAGAATCAAAATCAGTAGTGCTCTTCCATACTGATATGCTGGAAATCATATAATCTCTAACAGCTAAAGAAGAGGGAGATTCATCCTTATAGTTCATTACAAATTATTAATCAGTCTTGTTTAAAAATAAAATAACGTCTGTAGAAATGCATTTTACTTCTGTATGAAACAAGTTAGAAAAATTTATAATTGGTAGCACTGTTTTTTTCAAAGAGCTGTACACAAATATTGAAAGAATTCATAATAATTTTGTCTTCTTCAAAGATATTGTTACTTCTGAATAACTCAAAAGAACTCCTATCCAAGACATACTTATGTTCTTTAAATGGGTAACGGTTCTGCTGAGAACATAAAACTCTTGAGTCTCTGGAGGGCCACTTTCCTCAAAGACCTTATCCATCTACCCAAATTTTCTATACAAATATTATCTTTCTTGTGAGCTATGACATAAAAAGAGTGGGGAAAAACTGAAAGCTATCACAATCACAACAGCATATGGAAAACGTAAGAGCATTTTTATGTGCACTCTTTTATGTATACAGGTTATTGTACATATTTATATCTGGACAATGGTTCATATTTTCAGTATATTAACTTTGCCAAGCTACAATAAGTTGAATGGCATGATCCTTTACAATAAGTTGAATTGCATGATCCTTTCTTGATAGTAAAGTGTTCAATTTCTCCTTTGACTTTAAAGTTTTATTTTTTACAGAGTGTATTATATATAAAATCTTTTTATTCCATTTTCTCATTTTTATATTATGAATTTAGGTGAATAATTATGTTACCTAGATTTATCAATTGATGAACTATTTAGCTGAATTTCACATTATTTTCACAGAATATGATATGTAATCATTTGAAAAAACATTTTTTTTTCTTCTTTTCTTTTTTTGAGACAGAGTCACACTCTGTTACCCAGGCTGGAGTCTAGTGGTGGTGATCTTGGGTCACTGTAACCTCCGCCTCCTGATTTCAAGCAATTCTTGTCCCTCAGCCTCCCCAGTAGCTGGGATTACAGGCACCTGCTACCAAGCCCAGCTAATTTTGTATTTTTAGTAGGGACGAGGTTTCACCACGTTGTCCAGGCTGGTCTTGAAATCCTAACCTCAAGTGATCTGCCTGCCTTGGCCTCCCAAAGTGCTGGGATTTCAGGCATGAGCCACTGTGGCCAGCTAATAAACTTTTTTAAAAAGAAAGTTGCCTTAAACTTTTACTTATATAGAAGATTTTTAGAAACTATGAATTTATATTTACATTATTTCCATTATCCAATATTATAGAAATGTCACTACTACATACTATAGTGTACCTAATTCTTATTATGATGATTTTATAAATTTTGACATATTTTAAATTCTGCATATTTTTACTTGAGGGACACTGGTTATTATAAACGAGTTGGTATAATTATCATCTTGCTATTTTTATGGAGAAGTGAATGCTACTTAAAAATTTTTGTTTATGTTGACTCGTATTTTAGGTAGGGACTTTTGGTAAACCCTTTTCTCTTGTTTGTTTTAATTTTCTCAACTCAGAGAAAAGGATGCCATTTGTTCATGTCTATAAAATTAAAGTCTCAAGACCATTTGATGTAGACTACACATTGTGTGGGAGTCAGGGTTATCTAGTCGGATGACTGGATAATTGATCTTAGCTATATGGCCTCAATTTTTTCCGGCATAAAATTAGCTGTTTGGAGATTTCCTTCAGTTTTCAAGATTTGAAATTCTACTTAAATATGAAAAACAAGACCTGAAATATGTGTTTGGTACTTCTGCATCTATGAAACGTCTACAAATTATTCATCATCTGTCCAAGTAGCCGTTTGCTATTTAATCAACAAATATTATTGAGCATCTGCTTTATACTTGACTATGTACAATATAGTAGAATTAAAAAAAAATAGTAATCAATTTTTGCCTTTAGGAGATTCAGTTCAATTAATGATAAATTAGTTAATTATTTATGAATATTTTAATTATCTATTATATAATCACTGTTACGTGTTAGGCACTGGGAAAAACATTAAAAATTAAAGAATAAGACAATTCCTTGAACTGAAACAGATAAAGACTGTATTCTAATAGGATAAATACTATGAATTTACGATGTACTGTGGGGGCACAATAGGGAGTATAACTAACTCTGAAAATGTCCTGGAAGCTTTGGAAAAAAGTGACATTTGAGATAAGCATTACATGTACCCTAGTTGGAATTTTCAGTGTTAGTGTACTCGCAGGGCCATGAGAGCTATTAAAGGCTCTTCATCTGTGGGCTGTTGTAATCACATGTGCCTTCCAAGAACAGAAGTCCTAGAGCACTCTTTCCCTTCCTTACACTTCAAGGGATTTTGGGAATCAATTTTGATTATTCTTTTTAAAGCTATGATTTCCCTGGGTATTCTTCTTTGATTCCCATAGCAAGTAGTGTCCTCTGAGAGTAAATAAAAGCAAAATAAAAAATGAGGCATTGTCTTATGTGGGTAATTTAAATTTCAACACATCGAATTTCAACCATATCAAGAGATATGGAAGTCCATAGATCTCTGCTCCAAAAAGTTTCTCTGTGGTATGTATCATTTCTTCACATCAGGAGCTTTGTCCAAGTGAATGGAACTTAAAACATTGTGGTTAGATGAGATTCATTCAAGATAATTTTCTAGCTAATTGAACTTGTGTGAATTTACATTTGGGGCCTACTTTGAGTTTTTTCATTGATGCTATATTTCACATCTTGATTTACTCAGCTTTCCTCTCCTGTCTGTTAATCATTTACTAGAAAGAATGTGACAGTTGGTTTCTTTCAGGTCATACTTGCACTGCATATTTGGGCTCTTTTCTTAATTTACAAGGCATCTGTCTTTATCTTATTTCCTGGGTGATTATTCTAGTATGTTCAAGTTGCTGTTCTGCTCTGTCTTCAAACATCTGTGTTTCTTTATTTTAATTAATGTGATTTTTTTTCCTGGTCGTGGACTTACAATTTTTGTATTGTCTTTTATTTCTGATGTCAAGAGTTTCTATATATAAATAGTAATATAAGGAAAACATTAAAACATGTCCCCCTTTTTATGTGTCTATTCTGTAAGAGTTCAAAGCTTGCTTGCTCTTACTTTAACAGACTACAAATTTGTTTATACAACACTTATTAAGAAGTTACCATGCTAAAGGCTACTAAGGACTATAAAAAAGGAAACCATGTAAAGTCATTGCATTTGTTTTTTAAGGGCTAGCATAACCAGAAAACAAAACTTTATTTGAATATAAAACGAGAGCATGTATAATTCTAAGCATATCAAGAGCTACTGAACCTTATATAACAATATAAGATAATGTTTGGAGATATACATTGTTATAAAAGACATAAATATTTTGGTTTTAATTGACATTGAGTAATAACGGTTGAAATAATTTTGTAAAGTTAGGATAGTAAGGTATTTTTTAAACAATGGTTATCTCTTATCTACTCTTCTGAAATGTATTTTAAAAATCTAATATTAAGTGAAGTTTAGAGATAGCTTCATAGATTTTTGATCCAATTGATTATATACTGATGTGTTCAATTCCTTTTTCAGTCATGAGAACTTTCCACTAAGACTAACATTATTGGAAGCACAATAAAAATGAAAATACATATTGTAATAAAGTTCTCAGCAATAATGTAATCTAGAAAACATACACCAATTGCATGATTAAGTACAAAAATGGCCAGATCAATAACTTCATTTCTGTTTTTATTTCTCTGGGATGCCTAGAAGTTGGAAGATGATTCTCATTGTGGATATTTGCTAATAAGTCTTTGTGGAGAACCCATAGGTTAAATTCTTTGTGATGAAGGTTTTTATTCTTCTAATACAGACTAAGGCAGCACTGTCTAAATTATTATTGTAACGCATGCAGGTGTAAGCACTCAAGTTTGATTTCCTGAAGTAGAGCTTTTGTGTATGTGTGGGACTTAAAAAAATCTGTTGGCATGCAGTCTCCCAAGTCTCCATGTTTATCTGTTTGTGATGTCATATGCAAAAGCAACAAATCAGTGGATGCATCTACTAAAGCAGATTTTAAAAAAAATCACCCAAGCTTCTCCTGAACTATAATTCTTGCCTAGTAAAACATACATATATGAAAAATGTATAAAAATCAAATCAAAAATTAAGACAGTAATAAACACTTTAGACAGATTTCACATACCTAAGTCAAATGGTAGTTCTAACACAGGCATTTATATGGGCCAATTATATAAAGCCATTTTGAAAGGCTGCTTTTCACCATGTTTCTTCAATTCTTCAGAGTCTGCGGTGATGACCAACATCAGATACTATTAAGGAGTCTTCAAGCGTGTAAAATAATATGATTTCACAATGATTACATATTCACTCTACAGCTGGCTGAGTTTTTACATCTCCATTTGTCATTGACGATTGTGTCCAATTAAATGATTAGCTTTTAAAAACTGCTGCACATTATGAGTGTGAACTTGTGTTCCATTGCACTGAGTGATGCAGAAACAAACTCATTACAGCATGTAATTCACCCATATTAAATAACAAACAGATGGCTGCTGTAAATGAGAGCTCCTTTTTCTCTTCAAAAGTGCCAGGAAAAAGGTGTTTTTATTTATCTTTGTTTCCAGCTTCTTTCTGTTTTCTTGACAAGTGGGCAGCTGGTTGCTGAGGTTTTCAATTGGTGCAGAAGAATGAAAAGCCTGTTTCCATTAATTTCCCCATAAAATAAGTCTTTGAATCATTTCTGTTATAAATGCAAGTGCAGTAGCAAGCTGCTGCTTGATTAATTCACTTATTATGAAGATTTCATCTTTTATAAGAGGGCCTGCAGGTAATTTATCTTGTTTAGTAAGATTAGAAAAATGTAATTATCTTGATACCTTTGGACCCCTCTCATTTTAATTGTGTTCCCATAAATTTCAAACATAAAGATGGGAATTTTTTGTGCACAAATGTTCCAACATGTGGTCGAAAAATGTGCTTTAAGCCCTGCACAAAAATGTATCAAGTAAAATACATTAGGACTGTACTAATGCAGGAATGCATACAAATAAAGCTAGCACAGAATTATAGTCGTGTGTACAAACAAATATTTGAATTTCTGGTTCCCTAGTCACCAAACAGCTGGGGTGAGGTAAAGGAATTTGGGATTTGTTAGACTTTTTTTATATGTCCCTGGGGAAATGAAATCTGTCTTATGTATACTAATAAAATTAAAATTGTGTTTGTCTTCAAATCTTCCAAACTCAAGTCAATTTCTACTGGGTATATATTTCATGGACTCTCTTCCCATCACTTCCATTATGTCTCTTAGCATCTGTGGATAATTGGATACATCTCTAATTTTACAATGATAATATAATTTATTTAAAAAAACACTAAGTGTATGAAGAATCTTCTATTTAACTTCAGATATTCTGTCTTGCAGGGATCATGCTGTCAGGCTTGGAAGAAATACCTCCTTTTCTCCAGTCTTTCCTTCAGTTCTGCTGGAATTGGCATTTTAATATCTTTAATTTCATTTGATTTATAGTATTTAATTTGCCTTTGCTAGATTTGTAAAATATGTTATGATTTTCTACTTAATTACTTCTTATTAATCAAAGTATATATTTCTTTCAGCCTATGCTCATTGTCCAGGAAGAAGGAAATCACTAATACTGTATTCTACAACTATATTATTTCAGAGTTTTCAATCCTTTTCTATGGCTACATATAAGAAAGCATTTCATTCTTTGTGGTCCCTTGAATGGCATTGAACTGGTCAAGTGATTGTTTTTGATAAGTTCTATAGATCTGTGCTTAGGCACTTAACAGGATGCAATCAGGGTACACTGAGATTTGCTATGTAAGAGCCTCTGTAATTAAAATGATGTATAGTTACATCTCTAAATATAATGGTTTCTACTGATAAAACACTTTTCTATATATTTCAATAAAATTGCAGAGCTTATAAAATTGAATTAATATAATGTGATAGAAACACAGATGTTATTGAAATAAAATGATTGTATGTTTGTATATTCTTCTTTATCTTTGTGATTTACTCATTTTATTGGATAGTTACAGTTGCTGCCTTTAAACATGTCTGCCCTTAGGGCTCTGTGTACAAAAACACGAATTGAGGATATTTTTATAGTATTATTGGATCAATTTTATAAATATATGCTAAATCTGGTTTATGTGTAAGACTCAGTGTCAGGAATAAGAAAGTTCCTCAATTTATTAAGCTGTGCTGCAACCCCACCTTATTCTCTGGGGGTCTCTGTTACCTTAGCTGTAAGTGCTGCATGCTGTATACTGAATCACGTTCCCTAAAATTCATAGATTAAAGCCCTAACAACCAATGTGATAGTATTTGGAAGTGGGATGTTTGGGAGGTAACTAGGTTGAGATGAGGTTAGGAAGTTCCGGTCCCCTTAATGGGATGAGTGTTCTTACAAGAGAGGAAGAAAGGCTAAGAGACTGGAGCACTCTTTCTCCCGTTACCATGTCAGGACATGGTGAGAGAGCAGTCATCTCCAAACTAGGAAGAGGCTCCTCATTAGGCACTGAACTAGCCAGCACCTTGATCTGGAACGTCCGGCCTTAAGGGCACTAAGAAAATCAAATTCTGTGGTTTAAGCCACCTAGTGTATGATATTTTGCTACGGCAGTCTGAGCTTGGGCAAGACACTATTGCTGCCCTGCCTCCACAGCAGACTTTTTGTGAGGATTAAATAAATCACTTTGAAGAATGAATTGGTTTCATTAGTTATCTTTTTTTATGCTTAAGTCTCTCAAAACTCCCTATCAAATATTTAGTGTTAAATAAAATTGTAAAATGTTTATCATGGTTATTCCATTCATTATTATTCACAAAATTGATGAAAAGACAAAGGAACTAGGCATTTTCTAAAGGGTACATATGTCAGGGTAAATATACATCTGCTAGAATTCATTAGCTTGTTGCAATATTAATGGAAGAAATTACAATTTTAATAAGTATTTTATCTCACTTTTTGATCATTGGCAAAGATGAAGTGGTAGCTTAGCATTTTCCTCTAATTTCTTCCTCTAGTATTGGGGCCTAGCTATGTCTCCCTTCATCTGTCTGTCTTCTTATATTATTACCTAATGCTAGTTAATATCTTCTTTATGTCTTAATTTAGAAATTTCTATGGGGGAAGATGAAATATTTGTTCTCAAGACTTTCAGAGCTTCTTTTTGATTAAGATAGAAATAAGTAAAAGAACACTTCTGAGATTAAATCTTAGAGCAGGCAACACTGAGGGGAAAAAAAACGCCAAAATGATTCGTTATCTAAACTGTAAATTTGATCATGACCCTCCCCTATCCTTAGGCTGTTGCATAAAATGAAATCTGATTTTAAGGAGAGTGGAGGAGAAAGTTACAACATTAAGGAAAGGAATTGAACAAGGCTGTCCACTGGCTCAGGGACTGCTTCGAGGATATTTCTCATATCTTGTTGAAACAAAATCTCAATGTGTCAGTATAAAAATTGGTTCTGAATTTGAGCCAATGGGTTTGAGATAAGTTTCTGCCAGATTGAAAAAAAAAAAAAAACAGTAAGTACAGGAGAAAAGCAAAACAAACAACCACAAAAGAAGTCTGCTAAAATGAATCCAGAATGCTTAATGTACCTTATTCCTAAGAAGGCTGTCTGTTGACAGATGTTCATTTCCAGTTGGAACACGGTATCATAAAGGCAGTGTTTCATCATACTCATGAAAAACATCTAAAAGCAACAAAGAAAACAGTATATAAAAACACAACTTCATTTCTTTACAATCCCAGGCTATGAAGCAGGTGTAAGGGCTGCTAAAATCAACAGAGAAACAATAGGGATAGAAAGATGCCATGCAGGGAGAAATGAAAAGAAAATGCCACCAAAAGAGAAATAAACAATGAAAGGAGCTAGCAGTTGCAGCTATCAGATGTAAAAATTGTACTGCTTAAGGGTAAATTTCAACACTGAGATCCAAATCTATACTTACTGCTTCCAATAGCAGGAATAGAAGTGGCAATAGTAGTGCCCCTCCAGTTAAGTAGTCGTTTCAATTTTCCATTACAATGCAACAAGCCACCCTAAAAGTTAGTGGCTTAAAACGACAACACTTTATTATTGCTCATGATTACATGATGAGGGCAGATCGGCATCTCTTCTTTACAGGTGGTGTCAGCTGAACTGCTGAGATGACAGAGAGGGACAAAATGACCTCATCACATGGCTGTCAATTGTTGCTCCCAGGGCCTTGATTCCATTGGTCCTCTTCCCATGGGCATTTGAGATTCCTCATAGAATAATGGCCTTAACATAGAGAGGCCTCTGACATGGGGGCTAAATGCTACTGAAAGGTGGAAGCTGCCAGGTTTCTTGAGTCTTAAGCCTGTAATTTTCACATTGTTATGAGCATGAATAATGGGATGTGTGATACATTGGGGCCCCCAAGTAAAATCTATCATACAAAGCTGTTTGAAGAATATCATCGACAAGCCATACTCGCAGGAAGCGGTCTGACTATGATGCAATGGATAAAAAGAGACTCTCTGAATAAAAATATAATAATAATCAGGGAAATGCAAATCGAAACCACTATGAGACATTACCTACATCAGTTAAAATAGCTAGTATCAAGGAACCAAGAGAAAACAAGTGTTGGTGAGTTTGTGGAGAAAAGGAAACCCTCATACACTGTCATTGAGAATGTAAATTAGGGCAGCCATTATGGAAAACAACATGGAGGTTCCTAAAAAAATTAAAAGTATAATTACCATATGATGCAGCAATCTGTCTTCTGGGTATATCTCCCTAGGAAATGAAATCTGCACCTCACAAATACATCTGTGCCCCTGTGTTTATCACAGTAATATTAACAATAACCAAGATATGGAAACAAACTAATGGTCCACCAATAGATGAATAAATAATGTGATATATATATATGTGTGTGTGTGTGTTTATATAACACACACAGGAATATTATTCAGCCTTAAAAAGGAGATTCTGCCATTTTCAACAACACTGATGAATCTAGAGGACATTATTCTAAGTGAAATAAGCCAAACACAGAAGAAAATTATTGCATAATCTCATTTATATGTGAAAACTAAACAAACAAAAAGCCAAGAAAATCTTGCATACATAGAAACAGAGAGTACACTGTTGGTTATCATAGGTAGAGTGTGGGAGTCGATGGGAAAATGAAAATCCAACAGTACAAAGGTTGAGTTATGGAGGATAAGTAAGTCTGGAGAGTTAATGAGCAGCATGAGAACTATAGTTGTTGTATACTGTGAAATTGTTAAGAGTAGATTTTTGTCACTTTTACCACCACGACGAAAAGGGAACTATGTTAGATGGTGGTTGTTCATTTGTTTGACAGTAGTAATCATCTGACTATGTATATGTACATCAAAACATCATGTTGTATACCTTAAATGTGAACTATTAAGAAAAAATTAAAAAGCGTATTCTCTGTATCCACTGGCTAAGGAAGAACAAAGATTTTTAAAAAGACACACTAAATCACCTCTCATAAGGAAAGTTTCAAAATTTTGGAATAAAGCCCTGTTCAACTCCACCACCATCAATAAACCACACTGAATATGAACTAAAGCAAATGGCTAGAGAAATTTACCTCTTTTAATGGTGAATATTTTTTAAGCCAATACAGTATCTATACAAAGATGTTACATGTAAAAGAGGGAAAGGGTTAAGATAAAAAAAATAATAATTGTAAGGATCCTTACCAGAAAGAAAAATAGTATGGAGTGAGTAAAATCTGTGAGCAAATTTAAACCATGAATCATTACAACAAAACAAAACACATAAAATTCCCAATAATGCAATCATTCCTATAAAGCAAATTCACAAAAATAAATACAAGATCTGAGAGAACAGATGGTGAATTAATAAGAGGAATGCAACATGAAATGCACATGAAAGTATTCAAAGCATCTGTCTGAGAAATAAAGGAAAAAAGAAAAAGAAACAGAGAATAGACATTGTAAAACAATACAGGATATAGAAGATAGAGATGACAGAAATGTGCAAATAAAAAATAAAATAATAAAAGTAGATCAGATGAAAAATGACAGCCTAAGGAAACAAAGAATGACTATTTAGAGGATGCAAAAAAGAAAACTGAAACAAAGGGAGCAGCTTAAGAGTAAAATTCAATTTATTTGTCAAAATGTTACACAATGAAAATATGGAGGGTCACACTGTATACTAGGATGAATGAGATGAGCATGACAAATATTCATTCATATTCTAGGAGTTTCTGTAATTCAAATGTGAAGAAATTATTTTGGCATTAAAACAAAAATATTCTCATTTCTATGGTCAAAACTTTTATTCTGTGCTCAGACTAATATATACAGAATTCTCAAAAGAAGAAAATATAACCAATATTTTATTCCCGACAAACTGCCACTCAAATTCAATGGCAACAGTTTCAAACATGCAAGAACTTAGGGAATATCATTGCTACAAATTATTATTGAGAAAGTTGCTAAACAACAAACTTCAAACAATAGACATGTGATTGCAAAAACTACAGCAAAAGGACTGAGAGTAAGAATGAATGCATTAACAAAGCAACTAGACTGAAACTAATGTGTGCTTTAAATTTACAGAAAAATAATGTAAACTTTATAAGCCCTGACAGTACAAAATAATAAACATGTTTTCCCTAATCCCACACTTTTATATACAGTCCTTTCATTAAATTTTTAAAGGTAAATTAAACATTTTATTTGGGAATCACAGAATTGCAGTTTGTGGAATACAAGCAGATCAGAGTGGTCTTTGGTTTGTCCAAAGAACAAAGACAAGGGTGGGATTTTGTTAGAAATAAATTTTATGTATTATTTTGAAAGAAATCTCACTGTCACTAGAGAAGCTTTGGGGAGCGGTCAAGCTCTGATTGGTGAGTGATAGTAACAAGTAAAACTAGTCTTATAGCCCAGGCAGTTTTTTTCAGCAGCTACCAGGTAAAAATGGTCTGATGGTTACAGCAGGCTATTTCAGCACCTGAGTTTGCAAAAAGTTCAATTTTTGGAGCTGGTATTATGTGTCTGGAGTGCTTTTTCCTCTTGGTCCATTCACTCTGATTCAATTGGGTATAATAAGAATGACCAAATTTGTGTAATCAACTTTCACAATGCCAAACATATGTTTTATTCCTGACTGTATTCTTATCACAACTCAGAGAAATATAGTTTTTGTGGTTATACAAATATGAAATGTAAATTAAAAACAAACAGAATAACAATCCAAAAAAAGAAAAACTACAAATCTAAGGAAATAAGAAAGAAGTGATACAGATACAAAGGTTAAAATTAGCACATAGGAGAATATACTAAAACTTATACATCATTTCTGAAAGTTCTTTTTGCAGAAAAACTAATAAAACAGTTAAACCTATATCTATCTATCTATCTATCTATCTATCTATCTATCTATCTATCTATCTATCGTCTATCTATCTATATATATATTTTAAACTTGAATGAAAAGTGTGGAAAAATTAAGAAAATTTTAGGAAAATATGCTCTACCAAAAGTGACTCCTGAAGTTAGCAAACTTAAACAAATTTCCCGAGAAAAATTAGAAAAATATATGAGGACTATAAAGTCCTGTTTTTTACTTTTCCTTACCTCCTCGCTTCCTCCCAAAAGCACCAAACTCAGATATTTTCACCAGAAAACTCTACCAAAAATTTCAAGTTGAGATAAATTCAACAGTTTGTCCAAGTTATATAAATCTTCACATACTGCATGTCATATATAAAAATGAAAATAAAAACCTTCTAAGTTCTTATTAAACAAAAATAATCAATATTAAAACCTTACACGTTTCAATGGAAAAAATAGCTACAACCCAAACCCCCAATTCCTATTATGATATTTACATAGAAATTCTTAGTAAAATTTTCAAGAAGAGAATGCACATATTACAAGTGTAGTAAACCATGACCAAATAGGGTTTATTTCATAAACGTAATGATGTTTCCATATTAGGATGTATCTTATATTACCCATCATTATTGTCTTAGGAGAAAAAATATTATCCCCATACACCCTGGTCAGGTATTTGGGAAAGTTGAAAATCCTTTCTTGATAAATAAATTCATGTTAGATAAATATCTTTTAAAAAAAGAAGAATGTAAACACATCTCAGTACAAGAATGAGCAACATACATAAAATATGGCATCTCTCCATTACATGTCATCCCCTCTAGAAGGCAGCACAGAGAAAAAACCTCCTTCTGTGATCCTGCAGTTCCATCCACAAATCACTGCATAACACGGACTGTAACAATTGACAAGTCAATCTTCTCAAAATCAGTTATGATATCTTAGTCATCCTTTTATTACATTATCTACCTGGGTTTCTGGCCTGTACGCCTCAAGAACTGTGAAGGGATTGGTATATCCCCCCACTTACAAGCTAACGAGTTAGCCTTCCATAGTCTCCAGGATACTGATAGAAGGCACCAGGCTCCTGGGTGGAGGAGACTCCTGGCAGAGAAGGCAACATGAGATCAGCTCCTTGGTATTAGTTACCCTTGCTTCCATGTTGCTCAGCAGCAACATCAATGGGACAAGCTGGATGTCTGCACACACAGTGGGTTGCATTTCAGGAGAGGAAATTTGATTTCATAATGGTATTCATCATGCCTGCTTTTTGTCCCAAAAGGAAGAATTATTTTTATTGCACAGGACCATAAACATGACTGGCTTTTGTTCTATCTATATCATCCAAAGCTGTTTACTATAAAAGAAAAAATCTTTAAAAGCATATTCTGTAACAAAGAGCAGTCAATATGTTGCTTTAAGAGATGAGCAGAAATACATGGGACCGGCGAAGATGTGTCAGATATTGTATTTAAGATTGTCTAAAAAGACAGAAATTCGATCAAAATGCATTCATTTCACTTAATTAAACAAATATTTTGTTTTAGCTCCTATTGTTTATTCTTATAACACAAATTGACTTTGTCTCTGTTGTCCCATTAGTGGGAATGTTACACAAGGACTGAGGTCTGTTACTAACCCCTTGAATTGAATATATTAGAAATTAGTTTTGCTGTTTTATGGAAGTTTCATAAATAGAGGTGATATTTGATACAACATGATTCTAAACAAAGATACACTGGGTGCATCTTGCTATGTAGCCCATATTTTATAAGACATATCTACAATATGAAAGAGTCTGTGGGTTAAATTTTTTATATTTATTTTTTTCCATATTTTATTTCACTGGTCAAGGGAAAATGTAGCTAAAGAAAATAAGGCTTAATTTCAATGACTTGTTAATAAATATTTACTAATTTGTGTTTTAAAACTATTCTTCCAGAAAATGCTAACCGTAAATGGAAAACTTGCTCCACTAGCAGGTGTTTTCTAATTGAAAATAAATGAAAAATGTAAAATAACTGACAGTCTTTGTCAAAATAATTAGGTTATTTGAAAATATTTGTGTAGCACACAGTAGGTTTTCAAAACTGACTGAATAAATATATGAAGGAATGAGTTGCTGATATATAAATCTGCACGTTGTCCCTGGGTATCTTAGCTGGTAAAATAAATATGGACCAGAGGCTCAATCATCTTCTCCCTTATATCAAAACTACACATTGTATAGATTGAAAACACAAAGGTAAGAAAGTTGATAGCTTCAGAAGTCCTTCGAGAATAATGTGTAAATGGGAACTTGGCCCGACTACCCCTCCCCCATTTAATAAAAATTTTACTGTTCAAGCTGTGAATCAGCATAGCCTATAAACTGTAAGCTTCTCTTCCATGCCTTTGATACTTGACAGCCATAATTGACATATATAAACTCTTTCAAAATGACTTCTGGAAATTTTCTCTGGGGTAAAGATTTTAGATACAGAGGCAGATGGCTAAGTACACACATTAGGATATTTTGCTTTTGGCCTGCTTATTCTGAGTTTGTTATATTTTGTATTGTTTGAGGATTGCCAGTACAATTAATACAACAATTAATAGGGCATCGCATTCTTCACTATTTTATGCAGGATATGATGTCATCCAAATCTAACATATATAATACATATAATGTCAGAAATAAGTTATTTTTGGGTTGTACTGGCTTTACTCTCTCCACGGAAAGAAAAAACATCTAAATATTTTATAGATATTAATTGAAATCTTTCAAAATATTCAATAGAAGTGAATCATTTTTCTCAAACTTGAATGGAAATATTAACATTTGAGATCTGATATATTGAGTGTTTTATGCAATTTTTATTTATTGGTGGAAATAAATTATCACATTATTTTCCAACCATATCAGAGCTGAATCTTACAATATATGGAATTTCTAAAAGATATAATTTACCCTTCTATTGTCAGTGTATGAGAGTACTCATTTTTCAAAGATGTTAGTAATGATCTTAAAATGGGAACATGAGTGTACTTTTTCCTCTAGTCTTTTGATTTTTCTGTTTTCCATTCTTTTTCTAATGATTGTGTGTGTTTAATAGTGGAAATTTTATATTTTATATTTAAAATATGTAGTAATAATATTATTTTATAAGTATATTTCAAATGTTATTTAAACTTTTCATGGGATTTTAATGTTTTTGTTGTCATTTATGTTTCTAGCTTCGAATTTACATTAATCATGGTTGAGCAATTTGAAGTGACCTCTGAACAACAACAACAAAAACTACTAACTCCCCTGAGACCATATGGCCAGAGAAATTTCTCAGTAATCTTTTTACCACCTATGCTAGTTTTTTAAGGCACATCTTTGAAATTCAACAAGTGTATTTTATCTTAAGTTCCAGGTTAATATAATGATGGCCTGACCCTTAACAATCCTTTATTAGATTAAAATATGTGTTTGTTAGAAAATTCAGTTTATTTAAAATGGAATTGAATGATGTCACTTTTATTATTTTCTGAAAAATACATAATTATTATAGTTTCGATATCTCTGTATTTCAGAAGTTTCTGTGTCCTTTAAACATATTAAAGAAAAGTTGAAGCAGCATTTTTCTCCTAAAAATCAAAATTTGTTATTATTTAATTTTTCTATAATTAAGTGTAATAGGCAGTAAAGGACCTTAATTCATTTAGTACTGAATACATCTATATGACTGAATATTACTGTCAATCATTGACTGAGAATTTTATCATACACTCCCAGCCTGTTTTTAAAAGTTGTATTCTGAGATGAGTGGGATTAGAGAATACAAAGTTATTATGATGGTAACATATCATATATGTAACTCTTTTCCATCAATACTGTCAGTACCTGCTTTTTAATTAGTTGAAGTGTTTCACAATGTTTTATAATTTTACAACAATAATTTTACAGAAAAAAGTGCATATATCTATCATCTGTGTACAGAAGAAAAATATACATGCATAAATCTCTCTCTCTCTCTCTCTCTCTCTCTCTCTGTCTCTCTCTCTCTCTCGTTTTCCCTTTTTCTACATTGGCATCATGCTTGGATGGTTCTCACTATTTCACTCCAAAAAGACAAGTATTTTTGGCATTTGTACTCAGGATGCCTACATTAGCTAACCTAGACGACCTTTTATGTATATCACCACCAGAGGGACTTGGACTTTTCATAGTGATAGTATTTTACCCCATACAAATTACTGTATTCACTTTGCAATACAGCTGTACCGGCAGGCTTTAGCAGTTATAGTGTTTCTTATCCTCCTACTGAAAAAAAAAATGTTTTAATACTTATTCTTAAAGCTCTTATTGCTATTTATGCCTCATCTGGCCACCAGATGTACTTCCTATGAAAGAGGTTGTTTAGGCATTTGTTATGTTGGCTATTAGGTTTGTTCATATCACTACTCAGCATGGTTCACCCTTTATAATACGGTGCTTCGTGACATTTGAAATTCACAAACTTGCATTAATTGTCTCTTTTGATCATCTCCACAACTCTGAGAGTTGGCAAAACTGATACCAGGGTACACGTATTTTTTTCAGATGCTAAAACTGAGATGCAGAATGATTAAGTAATTTATGAAAGAGGCAACACTTATGCAGTTGAGCTGAGAGTAAGAACTCATGTGTCATGAGTCTTAGTCTAATGCTCTTTTGACTAAAATCATTCTTGAGAACGCTTTGCAGCTACTTTCTCTCATTTCATAGTCACTTGAATTCAAGGCCCTAATAAAATTATAAAAGCCATTCTTTTTACTTAAGCTAACTCTGGACACACTAACTCAATGCAGGTGTATAACTAAAAACCATACAACTGAATGAATGAATGAATGAATGAATGAATGACGAATGAATGAAAATAAATAAATATTATCGTCAGGCCATAGTGTATATGAACCTAATATCTAGAGGTCATCAACCATTTATTTATTATGCACCTTGCACTGTACTAAGTATTTAAAACATTGTGTTATTTATTCTCTATAAAATTGGTTAGATGTCATCATTCTTAATTTACAGATGATACCAGTATGTTCAAAGAGTTCAAGCAGCTTGTCCAAGGTCATGCAGTGAAGTGGTAAAGTCAAGATTTTAATCCATTTCTACCGGCTTCCTAGGTTATAATTCTTACTACATTTATTTTTATTAGTGTGATAAGTGATTATATGTATAAGGCACTGCTCTAAAAAATTATCAATATCACTAATTTAATACTCATAATACTCCTTTGACTGCAGTATTCCAAGTGCCAGCACTTTTTATTGTATGTAGAAAGTCTGGACTCCATTCCAGTTCATTAATTTTTTTTTTCGAGATGGAGTCTTGCTTTGTCACTCAGGCTGGAGTGCAATGGGGGTAATCTTGGCTCACCGCAACCTCCACCTCCCAGGTTCCAGCGATTTTCCTGCCTCGGCCTCCTGAGTAGCTGGGACTACAGGTGCATGTGACCACACCTGGCTAAGTTTCCTGTTTTTTGTTTGTTTGCTTGTTTGTTTTTTAAGTACAGACGGGGTTTCACCGTGTTGGTCAGGCTGGTCTCGAACTCCTGACCTCAGGTGATCCACCCACCTCTGCCTCCCAAAGTGCTGGGATTACAGGCATGAGCCACCGCGCCTGGCCCATTACAAACTTTTAATAAATCCCATGCTTGTTTTGCTCTCAGGCACATGCAAAATGCCATTAAAAAAACACAATACCAGCCTGGTCAGCATGGCAAAACCCCATCTCTACTAAAAATACAAAAAATCAGCGAGGCGTGGTAGCATATGCCTGTAATCCCAGCTACTTGAGAGGCTGAGGCAGGAGAATTGCTTGAACCTGGCAGACGGTGGTTGCAGTGAGCTGAGATCGCGCCACTGCACTCTAGCCTGGGCAACAGAGTGAGATTCTGTCTCAAAAATAAAAATTAAAAAATTAAAAAAACTTAAAATAGCCTTTTCCTATGGACTTTTAAACATTGTACTTCTCTTTATAATACGTTATTGCTAACTTTTAAAGTTTTAACATGATGTAAATAAATAACATAATTGTCTTTATTGGTCTACTCACATCTCTGTGATTCTAGTAGTTTTCCCATGCTACCTAACTTCATAGTTTAAAACAGAACATTCCATAAAATTCTTTTATGTGAGTGATTTTTGTTGATGACTTACTGAGCTACCTGTAGCTAATAAAAATATCCTCATGTTGTGCTATAAATAGTAAAATGTGATAACTCTAACAGGTAAAATCTGCCCATTTTATACTGTCAACAGCAGAATGTGATAAGCATAGCAGACAAAACAGTGCCCATATTATAAGAGGACATGAAGAAAATTTGAGTTTAAAGATCTCATTTGAGGTTTTTATGAATTCATTAGCTTTTAGCACAGTTGCATTACTTTGTAAAATTTCTTCATTATTAAAACTGGAGTTGTTCCATATACATATTAGAATAAGCTTGTCCATGTTGGCAATAAATGTTGCTAGCATTCTGATAGGAATTGCTTTAACCCTATAGCTCAATTTGAGGAGAACTGACATATTTTCTATTTTGGAACTTCCAATCCATAAACACAGTATATCTCTCCATTTTTTAGGTATTCCTTAATTTCTTTCATCTTCGTTTTGTTATATACATATATATATTAGAGACAGAATCCTGCCCCATCACCCAGGCTGGAGTGCAGTGGCGCGATCTCTGCATTTTGTAGTTTTTCACAAATAGATCCTATACGTGTGTTTTTACTTGTATACTTTGGCACTCAATTTTCTTCACAGTGAATCTAAATGGTCTTCTATTTTTTAATTTGTTTTCCATACTGTTAATATATAAAAATGTGACTTTTTGTGTGTGACAATATTGTACTGTGCAGTTTTGCTGAATTCATTTATTAGTTGTAGGACATTTTTGTAGAAATTCCTTAGGATATTCTATGTAGACCAGAAAATAGGAATAGCTTTAGTTCTTCCTATGCAGTTTGCATGACTTTTATTTGTTCTTCATGCCTGATTTCAGTGACTAGAACTTCTAGTACTAAGTTGAAAAAGAGTGGTGAGAACAGTCATCCTGGCCTTGTCCCAGTCTTAAGGTGAAATGATTGAGTCTTTCATTATGAGTATGCTGTTAGCTATAGGCTTTTTTAAAATATGCTTTATGAAGTTGATGTAATTCTCCTTTATTTTTAACTTGTCAAAGTTATTTTTATAATGAACTAGTGTTACCAGAGATTGAATATAATTAAGAATGGGGAGGGAAAATGAAAGTGTGTGTGGTTATTAAGGGCAACATAAGAAATTATTTTATTGGACTGTTTTAGTTTTTGCCTATGGTGTTGGATACACAAACATATACTGGTTATAAAATTTGAGAACATTATCACACACACACATAAATGAGTACAGGTAAAATATCATGAATATGGAAAAGGTGGGTGTATCGTGTCACTGTCAGTATCATGGTTGTGGTCTTATAGTTTTGCAAAATGTTACTTTTGGGAGGAAATTGGCAAACTGTACAAAGATAGCTCTGTATTATTTCTTATAACTACCTGTAAATTTACAGTTATCTCAATACAGCTTTCGATTTAAAAATTGGAATTTAAATTATTTTTTGATAGAACTTTGATCCTTTGCAACAGAATTACCAAGGCAATTACATTCAGATACAGACATTTTATATGTGTTTTGTTTAGATTCAGTTGCTGCATTAATTAAAAGTTAAAATTGGGCCAGGCACGGTGGCTCACGCCTGTAATCCCAACACTTTGGGAGGCCGAGGCAAGTGGATTACTTGAGGTCAGGATTTCAAGACCAGCCTGACAAACATGGTGAAACCCTGTCTCTACTAAAAATACAAAAATTAGCCGGGTGTGGTGGTGGGCACCTGAAATCCCAGCTACTCTGGAGGCTGAGGCAGGAGAATTGCTTGAACCTGGGAGGCGGAGGTTGCAGTGAGCTAAGATCACGCCATTGCACTCCAGCCTGGGCTACTGAGCAAAATTCCATCTAAAAAAAAAAAAAAAAAAAAGAAAAAAAATTAAAATTTACAGAATGCATTCGTTTAAATTATTTCAAACATATAAAATACATTCATCAATTAAAATTTTGAGTCTATTTATATATTTATAATGTTTAAAATGATTAACCATTAAACATAAATTTAATGTGGATACTATAGCCTTACCTGACAACTTAAATAAGGTGGCTTCATAGATGTTAAAACCAGCTGAATAATAAACTCATTAGCGTCTAGAATATTTCGTATGTGTATGTATTTTGTGAGTTTCCGCTATTTTTTATTTCTTCTTGAATATGTCTACTAGGTGACTGCAATATAGTTTAAGAATGAAGTTATTTCATTCGCTTTTGGTCTTTCATTTGCAAAGCACACATCAACCAGTTTATAAAACCAATTTCAATTTAGAAAAGAACCTCAAGCTATCATCTCCACCCCTTTCTGGGAAAAAGTCAAACATAATGCCAACCTTCTCAAGAGAACACCTCCAAGCAAAAAAACGTCACACTTAGGCACAGCCCTCAGATAAGGTACTCACTAATGGCCAATGCCTGCAGGAAACACTGAACTTTTTTCTGGAGAAATAGGATTACACCACTGCTGATTTTTGAGCTCTGCCTGGTTAACCTAGAGAAACTAAATAGCACAGTTCCCTCTAATGACTCAATTAACAGGTAGTTTACTATGACTGAGTTAATTTGAAGCTGATAG
This sequence comes from Homo sapiens, assembly GCF_000001405.40. Taxonomy (NCBI): domain Eukaryota; kingdom Metazoa; phylum Chordata; class Mammalia; order Primates; family Hominidae; genus Homo; species Homo sapiens. The sequence goes on from NC_000013.11 coordinate 70,800,232, forward strand.
TTCATATTTCTATACAAATCTTTAGTCTGATCGAGTAATACGCACAAATCAGATGTAATCTAGAATTTATTGAACAATGTCTTCCAGTCATAACACTAATTATTGTGAATGTGAGCTATAAAAAATAAATCATTTATAGTAAGAAAAACATAGAGAATAAAATCATAAATTTAACTGATACATGCTTCCTCTTTCATAGCTACATAGTGAAACAAGGGGCTAAAATTTAATTGATATCATTAAGTGAAAGCTAGACTTGTGTAGCTTGTATCAGTTCAGGATGAGAAAATATCTGGGGATGCTAATTTGAAGAACTCTATTAATGTAGTACCCATGGAAATGGACTAGGAAGAAAGAAAGAGAGAAAGAGAGAAATGAGAAAAATGAATTTGGCCTTAGAAAAGTCACATATAAATTTACATACCTTTACTAATACATTTAAAAATTTCAAATAATTGAGAGTGATGGAAAAGAATAATTTATATGTTTAGAAAATATGGCCAAACACAATGATTCATGCCTGTAAACACAGCCCTTTGGTAGGCCAAGTTGGGAGGATCACTTGAGCTCAGGACTTTGAAACCAGTTTGGGTAACATTGGGAAACCCCCATCGCTACCAAAAAAAAAAAAAAAAAGATTTTTAAGTTAAAAATAAAACAATAGCTGGGCTTGGTGGTGCACATCTGTGATCCCAGGTACTGGAGAGGCTGAGGTGGGAGGATTGCTTGAGCCTAGGAGGTCTAGTCTGAAGTGAGCCATGAGCATGCCACTGCACTGCAGTCTGGGCTACAGAGCAAGACACAGTCTTAAAACAAAAACAGAACAAAACAAAACAAAAGAAAATATGAATATATCTGTGCATAGATATGGTCACATTGAGGATTCTCGTAAAGGGAATCCCTACTTCTCAATGGGTGGTGCAAATATTTAGAGTCCTTGGGGTATCACTACTTTTGTATTTTCATATAAAATAGGGAAACAAAATATACTACATATGAAATTAAAGCTAGTTAATCCATATAACATTTGACCTAATGACAATTCTCAGATATACAATGAGAATGTCAATAAAAAAAAGAATGTCAACTAAACACTGTTAAAAAAATTAGATTTGATTTATACAAAATGCATGATGCAGTACATGTAAGCAAAGCAAGAGAAGTTCTTTAAGTAAACAGTAAGTAAATTGTAGTCTTTGACATAAATGAAATTCATTTTGACCCTTTACTATCTAATTATATGGTTATGAACAGCTGCTTTTTATTAATAGTATTAGAAAATTTTACAAACCACTCAACAAGTCTAACTTTGCTATTTAACTTTCAAAAAATGTATTTTTGAGATAATGGATTTTTAAGTCAAAGAAATCATACGTGAAATATGGAACAAAAATGTCATTCCAATAAAAAAATAAGAAAAGAATAGGGAAGGAAAAATATTTGTTTTACTTCAAAGGAGACATATTCTTCAAAGTCATCTCAGTATATTCTAGCACTTGCCATTACAGGTAAAAGTATAATTCCCATTGGTCAGAGATTTGAACGAATTGAGCAATATTTGATTAATTTTGGTTTTGTTTATAATATCCCACATAGCATTGAAAAATTTGAAAAAAGTACACACTTAACATATTTTATAGCTCTAGATATTGGTTTAAATAAGTGTAAAAATAATGATAAAATATATCACGATCATATAATAACAGTAAAGTGTTCTGTAATTTTTGATTGATTATCTTCAGCTACCTAATTATAATGTTTAAACATAATATGTCAAACTCATGGTTCATTTCTCAATATAAATATTGTTTAAAAAATGATATTGACAATTTAATTGCTACTCTTTCAGCAGAACAAAATCTCTCCAAATTCAACAAATCAGAAGTTTGTCTAAATTGGCATTTCTGTCACTAGGACACAAAATACATGAAGATCTTGATTAAAATAACATAATTAGTAATTTTACTGAAAAGAAGGCAAAATTTTATGAAATAATATGTAATAATGTGAGAATTATGCATGTCTTTACTTGATTACTCACCTAAAAATTATCACCCCAACCCTTAAGTAAATATCCACACATCCAATCATCTCTGAGGTTTTACCAAATTTCCGTTATGAGAAAAGACATAGCTTTACACACGAGGTCATAATACAGTAATATTTATCAACTTAGAAAGCTAAAACACATTCTCAAATATTTCGATTTGTAACTGGTGCGATGCAATACTGAAAGCCTAGGAAAGTAATTTGTATGTGGAAACTGCCTCAAAGTTGAAGGTGGGAAAGTTGGTTCTACTTCCTATGGTGTACCTCCTTGTTCACTATAAAACCCTTCGGTTTTCTTAATTATCAAAAATATCTTGTATATATTCACAGTGCTAATTCAGTAGGTTAGTCCTGTATTGGCTAGTGTGATTTTTCAGACCAAGAAGCGACTGTACTTCCAAATCTCATTTGCGTTTTTTGACACAGGAAGAGAAAACATCCGAGGGAGTTAAGGTTTTCTCACTTTTTATACAATTACAAAAATTTACCAATTACTATGGGCAGCAATTAGATAGAAGAAGGGCCCAAGATTCATAATGCCCTAGAAAAGGTAGTAATGTTCAGTAGGATTAAACTTACTAAACTTCTTGACTGCTACATAAGTTACCAAGGATTACCTTTGAAGATTTCAATAAGTAATTGAAACAATTAGATAATAGCTTATTGAATTAAAGGATAAGTATCAAAATAGGAATACTATAAATATTAGTTGAATATAAGGAACTAGATGCATACCTAAGAGGTTATCAGGGCTTTTCTGAACGAAACCTTTATGACTGCAAAAATTATTTTCTGTAAGTTAAACAAATCTATATAGTGCAGTGAAGTCAGATGACAGGCACAATTTGTGAGATGGCATTAGATCTATAGCTTGACCTGATTTCTCCAACTGATTATTTATAAAAGTCTTTTCATACTTTGGCAGAACCAGAAGCAATGCAACTTGGCCCAAAACAAATAATCTTTGTTTTACCTAAATAATACTACTTATTGGTTAATTATCGCATCAACATTACTAATTTATTAGTGCAAGTTATTATAAAATTCCTTGATTATAGTCTTAATGTCTATATAATTTGCAATCATAGCTCCTTATACATTCTTAATATTTATAATTTGAGTCACTATTTTGTTTAGCCAGCCTTTCTTGTGGTTTATCAATGTTTTCAATGGTTTCAATCTGTTTCTTTCCCTTATCTGTTTTCACTCATTAATTTTCAATTTTACTTTTATTATTTCCTTCATTTAAGTAGCATAATATTCCATTTATGTTCCTTTCACTAGTTTCTTAAGATGGATGTTCAGGTCATTGGTTTTCAGTTTTTCTTCTCTCAATATTAGTATGTAGATTTATTAATTGCTTTAACAGCTTTCCAAAAATTTTGTTATTTGTTTTCCTTATTATCTAACTGAAAATATTTCTTTTGTCTTGCCATTTCCTACCTAAAGGATTATTTGGAAGTGTGTTAGCTAATTTTCAAGAATATGGAGATTTTCCGAATATAATTTTCAATATAATTTCATTCCAAATATGACCTTTTCGTTATGATCAAAGAATCTTATCTATGCGATTTCTTGCAAATTTTTAGTATCTGTTTATAGTATAGCATTTGGCTTGTTTTTCATTAAGCTTAAAAAGTTTGTATTCGGTTATTGAATGTAGTGGCCATAATGTCAATTATTTTTAATTTTTTTAATAAGGTTCTTTAAATCTTCTACATCCTTACTTTTTTTTTTTTTATTATTATTACTTCTATTGAGTACTGAAAGAAAAATGTTTTAAAAAGTATCCATTGTAGTAGTCCCAAGCTATTCGGGAGGCTGAGGCAGGAGAATGGCGTGAACCCCGGGGTTCGGAGCTTGCAGTGAGCCGAGATCGTGCCACCGCACTCCAGCCTGGGCAACAGAGCGAGACTCCGTCTCAAAAAAAAAAAAAAAAAAAAAAAGTTTCCATTGTAATTGTAGTTTAACTTATTTCTGTTTAAGTTCTATCAGTTTTTGTTTCATGTATTTTGAACATCTGGTAATAGTAGTGTACACATTTAGGATTGTTGCATCTCTGATAAGTTGATGTTTTCACTTTTATAACATGTCCTTCTTTACTTAGTATTCTTTGCCTCAAACTTTGATAAAATATAACTTGATTAGCTACCATGTGGTTAGGTTTTGCATGCTATATCTTGGTCCCAACGTTTTACTTTTAATCTGAGTTTTTATAATTAAAATACTTTGGGGGATCTCCCTAATTATCATTTTGATGTTTGTTTTTAATTTAATTTTTTTTACTATATTCTGAATGACTTGCCTCTTTTAGATGTATCCAGATTTGTTTTAAGGCCCAGTACATAGTAAACCATATGAATTCAAAATAATTATTCTGAAATGATTGAATATATAGTTTCATATATATTTATTAGGTCAATGTGGTAGACAGTGTTCAATCATCTATGTGTTTGGTGACTTTTTCTAGTTGTTCTGTCATTTGATAAAAGAGAGGTTCATCATCTCTAACAATGATTGTAGTATTGTCATTTCATCCTTTAGTTCTGTCGATTTTTTTCAGGTAACCACTCACATCAACATATATAATTTCTATCTTTTCCTGATGAATTATTTATCATCATAAAATTTCATAGTTCCCTGCTAACAATCTTTTTCTTAGTATATATGTTGACTGATATTAACACCCATCCTAGACTTCTTATGCTTACCCTAAACATAGTATGTCTTTTTAAAAATTTACTGTCAAATTATTGGTTGCTTTTTAGTTAATGTATGTATCCTGTAGAGAGTACATATTTAGGAATTGATTTTGTTTTGTCCATTCTTTCGGTCTTTGCCTTTAATTGGATTGTTTCTCCATAATTATTTAAAGTAATGGTCAAATAAAAGTACACCATTATATATTTTCTGTGTGTCTCTTTTAGTTTTCTTGTTTAAGTTTTCCTAATATATTTTGGATTATAAAATTTGTCAAAGATACTTTTAATTTTCATATTGTGTTTTTAATTATACATTTTGTATTATTTGGCATTTGACTCTAAGGATTAAGATACACATGCATTAACTTTTTCAGTTACTTGGAAGTTAGACTGTACTAATTCCCACAAATACAAAAAAACATGAAAACATTCAGTTTATATGTTCCCCTTGTCATCTTCTATGCTATTATTGCCCTGTGTACTTAGATTATAAACTGCACAAGTAAATGTTACAATATTTTTCCTTAAAACTCTCATAAGTATTTTAAAGAAATTCAGATGAAATAGTTATTTGCATTTACCTACATATTTACCATTTTTGATGTTCTTTGTTCTCTCTTAAAAATCTGGATTTTCAGTAGGGATAAAGGTCCTCAGGATAAAGAATATACTTTAGCATTACTTATAGCATCAGTCTGCTGGCAATGAATTACATTAGTTTTCTTCTATCTGAAACTTTTTTATACTGGATATAAAAATCTAGGTTGGCATTTTAGTTTCTTTTAGCATTTTTTTCCCTCTACTCTTTACTCTCTTCTAGACTTCATATAGATTTAGATGAGAAATGTATTGTATTTTAATTATATGTGTATGTATATTTAAATTCTGAACATTTATGTGTCTAGCTATATGTTTATATAAGTAATGTGTAATTTTTTATTCTTTTTACTTTCAAAAATGCCTTTGTATGTTTAATTTTTCAGTCATTTAACTCTGATCTGCTCAGGCATGATTTCATTCACATTTATCCTGCTTTGTCTTTCTATTGATTTTAAAAAATACCGTTCTGTTGTCTTCTGACTTGTATTGTTTCTGAGGAGAATTCAGCCATCATTATTATTGTCATTCCTTAGAATTTGTCTCTTTCACCTCTGCCTGCTTTAAGAATTTCTCTTTAACTTGAGTTTTGAGAAAGTTGACTGAGGTATGTCTGTATGCGGTTTTTCTCTGTATTCATCCATCATGGTTTTGTTCTTGATGCTGCTGCCCTTTCTATTGGTGCTGCTGTTGCTGTTTTAACTTCTGGAATTATTAGTTGATGTTTTAAATCAAATTTTAAAAAAAATTACCATTTTTTTCTCAAATACTTTTTCCACCCTTTTCTCCTTGGAGACACCAGTTATCTTAACAATTTATTACAGTACATTGATGCATCTCTTTCTGCCTCAGTTTGGATAACTTCTATTGAGCTACCTTCAAATTCTATAACCTTTTCCTTAGGTCCAAAATGCTATTAATTCTCTTGAATGAATTTATGATTTCAGAAATAGTATTTTGTTCAATTTTTATCATTAGGGTTTCAATTTATTTTTTGAATAGACTATATCTTCACATTTTAAGTGTGTAAATATTTAATACAGTATAGCGGTTTTGAAATCCTTTTCTTCTGTTAAGGAGTGATTGCTTTTGTCCTCCAAAATTCATATATTGAAGCTCTAACCCCCAGTGTAGTTATATTTGGAGATGGGTTACTAAGCAAGTAATTAAGGTTAAATGAGGTCATACAGATGGTGATCCAATAGGATTAATCTACTAATCCAAAGGATTGATGTTTTTAGATGAAGAGATACCTGAGAGCTCACCGTCTGTCCCTCTTTTTCTATCCACACAGACTAAGGAAGGACTATACATGGAAAGAGCAATAAGAAAACTTTCTGCAAGCCAAGGTAAGAACTCCCACCTGAAACCAAAAGAGCAAAAGCCTTGACTTTGGGTTTCTAGCCCCCAGAACTGTTAGAAAATAAATTTCTTTTGTTTAAGCCACTGAGTCTATGGTGTTTTGTTATGTCAGCCTGAGCAAACTAGTACACCTGCTATCTCAATAACTAGTTTATCTATGTACCTCTTTTTATTGATTGCAATTTTTCTTTTTAATGTGTCACCTTTTTCTACTTCCTTCACATCACATAATTTATTAGTGTATTCAGAAAATTAAGGAGAATGCTTTGTCTTGTTTTTAAAATTTTTTTATTTTACTTTTCTGCACAGAACCTGAGCCTTTCTCTCAGTCTGGTGATTAGGGGATGAAAAACTGATCATTCAGATTCTTCAGGTCTTAAGTTCAAGTGTGTTATACTTGAGCTATGGTTTTAATTCTACTGAGCCCAGTTGTGATTACTCCAACCTCCATCTACTTTATTGCTGCTACTTCTGCTGCTGCTGCCACCTTTTTGATCATGTCAGCATTTGACCTGGGCTTTAGATTCAGCTGTTTTAGTTTACTGGTTCCCATTTATATGCAATTTCTCTAGGGACACACATTCCAAACATTGCCACAATGTATATGACTATATGAGTCCTCTCTGCTTTTCAGCTGGTTTCTTGACAAAATAGGGGCATGATGTGTAAAGGATAGTTGTGAAGCAAACAATTTGTTTTGCATTTGGACATTTTTCTATTAATTCCATCTTGCCAACTTATATAATCATTAAGGTTTGACTAGCTTCTGCTCCTTCCTAGAAAGTCACCATCTATGACAAGGGCAGCCTTTCTAGGCTCATACCTATATTATGCAAAGAAATTTCAAAAAGTCTGTGGAAAAATTGAATTTAAAGATAAAAATAAAAAAATATAAACTTTATTTCTCACCATAAGCTCCATGAAAGTCAAGACACTTTTGTAAATGATAACAACAACCATTTAGTCCATCCTTAAGGAACTGAGGGTCCTGGGAATTTGGTCAGGTCAATGTTATTTAATTTTTTTACAATATTAACTGAAGAAAAATTGGTACCTTTAAATGTTTTTTAAGGTTAGAAAACAAAACGAAGTCAGAAAAAGTCCAATCATGACTATAATATGAATGCCTCATAACTCCCCTTCAAAACTTGCAAAATTGCTTTTGTTTGATGAGAGGAATGAGCAGGAATATTGTCATCATGAAGAAAGACTCTCTGATGAAGCTTTCCCAGGCATTTTTCTGCTAAAGCTTTCATTAACTTTCTCAGAACAGTCTCATAATAAGCAGTTGTTATCTTTATTTGTTCCTCCAGAAAGTCAACAAGCAAAATCCCTTAAGTTTCCTACATAATGCTGCTATGACCTTTGCTCTTGACTGGTCTGCTTTTGTTTTGACTGGACCACTACCATCTCTTCATAGCCATTGCTTTGCTTGTGGCTTTGTCATCAGGATCATATTGGTAAAGTCACATTTCATCTGACATTACAAATCTTAGAAGAAATGCTTCAAGATCTTGATCCTACATGTTCAAATTTTCCATGGAAAGTTTTGCTCTTGTCTGCAGCTGTTGTGGGCACAACAGTTTTAGCATCCATCAAATGGAAAGTTTACTCAATTTTAATTTTTCACTCTCAATTGTGTAATCTGGACCAGTTGAGATGTGTGTGGTGTTGGCTATTTTTGCTGTTTATAATCAGTCTTCTTCGATTAGGGCACAAATAAAATTAATTTTTTTCTCACAAATTGATGTAAATGATCTGCTGCTGTCAGGTTCATCTTCAACACAGTCTTATATATCTGGGATTATCTTTAAAAAGAGTTATCAATTTTTAAACTGTTGATTTCTTTGAGGCATTGGCCCCAGAAACATTTGTAAAATAATATAGTATGGCTGTGTCCCCACCCAAATCTCATCTTGAATTCACACATTTTTGTGGGAGGGACCTGGCAGGAGGTGATTATATCATGGAGCACAGGTCTTTCCCATGATGTTCTCATGGTAGTGAATAGGTCTCACAGGATCTGATGGTTTTAAAAAGGGGAGTTTCCCTGCACAAGCTCTCTTCTCTTGTCTGCCACCATGTGAGACATGCCTTTTACCTTCCGCCATGATTGTGAGGCCTCCCCAGCCCCATGAAACTGTAAGTCCAATAAACCTCTTCCTTATGTAAATTGTCCAGTCTTGGCTATGTCTTTATCAGCAACATGAAAGTTGACTAATACAGTAAATTGTTACCAGTAGAGCGGGGCACTATTGAAAAGATACCTAAAAACGTGGAAGTGACTTTGGAACTGGGAAACAGGCAGAGGTTAGAACAGTTTGGAGGGCTCAGAAGAAGAGAGAAAGATGTGAAAAAGTTTGGAACTCTTGAGAGACTTGTTGAATGGCTTCGACCAAAATGCTGATAATGATATGGACAATGAAATCCAGGCTGAGGTGGTCTCAGATGGAGATGAGGAACATATTGGGAACTGGCGCAAAGGTGACTCTTGTTATGTTTAAGCAAAGAGACTGGTGGCATTTTGCCCCTACCCTAGAGATTTGTGGAACTTTGAACTTCAGAGAGATGATTTAGTGTAAACGGTGGAAGAAATTTCTAAGCAGCAAAGTGTTCAAGCGGTGACTGTTAAGGGCATTCAGTTTTAAAAGGGAAACAGCATAAAAGTTCTGAAAATTTGCAGCCTGACAATGCAATAGAAATGAAAATCCCATTTTCTGAGGAGAAATTCAAGCTGGCTGCAGAAATTTGCATATGTAACAAGGAGCCAAAAGTTAATCCCCATGACAATGGGGAAAATGTCTCCAGGACATATCAGAGGTCTTCATGGCAGCCACTCCCCTCACAGGCCTGGAAGCCTAACAGGCAATGATGGTTTCATGCGTAGGCCCAGGACCCCCTGCTCTGTGCAGCCTAGAGACTTTGTACCCTGTGTTTCAGCTGCCCCAGCTGTTGTACCCAAGCGAGTCGGAGAGAAACGCCACACTTTGGGACAATTTCAGAAGTCCTTTATTTGCCCATGACTGAGAGACAGCTAGTGCTCAAAATTCTCTTGGCTCCAAAGAGGGGGCTAGATTTTCTTTTATACTTTGGTTTAGAGAGGGGAGGGGGATTCTAGCTGCAGCAACTTTACAGAAGAGAAACAGACAAAAAAAGTTAAAAAGACAAATGGTTACAGGAAAAACAAACAGTTCCAGGTACAGGGGCTTTAAATTCATCATAAAGTGACAGGGTGATAGGTGAGGGGGCTCTGGGCATTATCTACCAGATAAATGTGGAGGCTTTATGGTACCATCTTTGAGTAAATTGTTGGGAACTGTGGACACCAGCTTGCTCAGTGCCTTATCAGTTAACTGGACTCTGATATGCTGAGAGCCAGCTTATACAAGTTAACTCCTTAAAGAAGGGGGTGGTTAAGGAGTCCTTGATGTCTTGCAAATGAAGGAGCCAAATGGAGTCCTTCTGGTGTTCTCAGCTAAGGGAGAGTCTATTCATATTAAAACAAAGTTAGGTAGCTAAGGGAGAGTCTAACAAGGAAAGGTATTACACAGCCATGGCTAAAAGAGACCAAGGTACAGCTCCAGCTGTTGCTTCAGAGGGTGGAAGCCCCAAGCCTTGGCAGCTTTAACATGGTGTTGAGCCTGTGGGTGCACAGAAGTCAAGAATTGAGGTTTGGGAACTTCTGCCTATATTTCATATAATGTATGGAAACACCTGGATACACAGGCAGAAGTTTGCTGCAGGGGAGGGGCCCTCATGGAGAACTTCTGGTAGGGCAGTGCAGAAGGGAAATGTGGGATCAGAGCCCCCACACAGAGTCCCTACTGGGGCACCACTTAGTGAAGTTGCATGAAGGGGGATACCATCCTCCAGACCCCAGAATGGTAGATCCACCAACAGCTTGCACCATGCACCTGGAAAAGCCACAGACACTCAATGCCAGCCCTGAAAGTAGACAAGAGTGGGGCTATATCCTGCAAAGCCACAGGGGCAGAACTGCCCAAGGCCATCGGACTCCACCTCTTACATCAGTGTGACCTGGATGTGAAACACGGAGTCAAAGGAGGTCATTTTGGAGCTTTAAGATTTGACTGCTCTGCTGGATTTCAGATTTGCATGGGGCCTGTAGCCCCTTTGTTTGGGCCAATTTCTTTCATTTGGAATGCTTGTATTTACCCAATTCCTGTACCTTCATTTTATCTAGTAAGTAAGTAATCTGCTTTTGATTTTATAGGCTCATAGGTGAAAGGGACTTGCCTTTTCTCAGATGAGATTTTGGACTGTGGACTTTTGAGTTAATGCTGAAGTGAGTTAGGACTCTTGGGGACTACTGGGAAGGCATGATTGGTTTTGAAATTTGAGGACATGAGATTTCGGAGGGGCCAGTGGCAGAATGATGTGGTTTGGCTGTGTCTTCACCCAAATCTCATCTTAAATTCCCAGTTTTTGTGGAAGGGACCTGGTAGGAGGTAATTGAATCATAGGGGCAGGTCTTTCCCATGCTCTTCTTGTGATAGTGAATAAGTCTCATGAGATCTGATGGTTTAAAAATTGGAGCTTCCCTGAATGATCTCTCTTCTCTTGTCTGTGCCACGTGAGACACACCTTTCACCTTCCACCATGATTGTGAGGCCTCCTCAGCCACGTGGAACTATAAGTCCAAAAAGCCTCTTTCTTTTATCAATTGCCCAGTCTTGGGTATGTCTTTATCAGCAGCACGAAAATGGACTAATACATAAAATATAAATTATTCATCCATTCCTCTACCTGAGCATTTCCATAAATTTGATGTTTGTTCTTGCTTCAATTTTAGCAGAATTCATGTTGTTCTCATAGGGACTCTTTTTAAAGCTGATGTTTTAGTCTTATCAGTGTCACAAACTCAGTCTTGTTGAGGCATGTTATAACAAGTTAGTACAAGTTTATTTAGTGCAAAAACCTTTGAAATTCATGCATAGCCTTTTTTTATAATATGTATTTTCCATGAAGTCCCATTGTACATCTATACCCAGATATGGAAGCTGCCATGTCTATATGCTCATCTATGAAATGTCCTTTCTCTCTGGATTATAATAAAAAACATCTTTATGGCAGCCATCCTTTTCTGCTAGCCTCAGGGAAAAGTATGATTTTAATTAATTCCATGTTTATCTTATTTTTTCATAGAAGAGAAGGACTTAACTTCAATATCTTTCTCAATTTTAGTAGGAAAAAAGAATTTCCTCAATAGCTTTTTCACTTACATTTTTTCCTCAAGGCTTGCCACTCAAACTGTTTTGTGCCAAAGTTATATCTTAAAATACAAATTTTATTACCTTCATTAATTCTCTGCTCTTTGATATTTGCTATGAAATTCTCAGAAAAGATCTTCAAGGAGGAGATTCTCAATCATAGGACCAATGCTATACACAGATCAGACAAGGAGAAGACTGGCAAAAGTTAGAATAATCTGTCCACAGGCCATGTTTGTTGACCTCCAAAAAAAAAAAAGTTGAAAGGTGAGGATGGATATTAGGTTGCAGAGGGTTTAAGAATTAGTGGAAGGTAACATCTTTATAAAGAGTGTTTGCAATGGCTTATATTAGACAAATCAATCATAAAATCTACCCCTTCTGTGGGAAACAGCTTTGCTCTTAGCTCTCATGAGTCACACAGCTTTTAGAAATCCTTGTTATATGAATAATCAGACTTAAGGTTAGCCTATTCATATGGTTTGGCTCTGTGTCCCCACCTAACTGTCATGTTGAATTGTAATTCCTAATGTTATGGAGGGACCTGGTGGAAGGTCATTGAATCATGGGGTTGGATTTTCCTCTTGCTGTTCTCATGATAGTGAGTGAGTTCTCACAAGATCTGTTTGTTTAAAAGTGTGTAGCACTTTCCCCTTTACCCTCTTCCTCATGCTCTGACCATGTGAATACATGTCTTGCTTCCCATTCACCTTCTACCATGGTTGTAAGATTCCTGAGGCCTCCCCAGCCAGGAAGAACTGTGAGTCAATTACACCACCTTTCTTTGTAAATTATCCAGTCTCAAGTATGTCTTTAAAGCAGTGCAAAAACAAATTAATACAGAAAACTGGTACCAGAGAAGTGGGCCATTGTTATAAAAGTACCTGAAAATGTGGAAGTGTCTTTGGAACTAGGTGATGGGCAGAGTTGAAACAGTTTGGAGGGCTCAGAAGAAGACAGAAACATGAGGGAAAGTTTGGAACTTCCTAGAACTTCCTCAAGGGTATCTGGCAGAAGAAACTTCTAAGCAGCAAATTGTTCAAGATGTGACCTGGCTGCTTCTAACTGTATATGCCAATATGCATACACAAAAAAAGACAGTCTGAAACTGAAACATATTTAAAAGGGAAGCAGAGCATACAAGTTTGAAAAATTTACAGCCTGGTCATGTGGTAGAAAAGAAAAACCCATTTTCTGGGAGAAATTCAAGCTGACTGCAGAAATTTGCTTAAGTAAAGAGAGGTGAAATGCTAACATCGGAGATAATGGGAAAAATGCCTCCAGGACATTTCAGAGACTTTCATGGCAGCCCCTTCCATCAGAGGCTTGGAGCCCTAGGAGGGAAAAATGGTTTCATGGGACAGGCCCAGGGTCTCACAGCTCTGTGCAGCCTCAGGACATGGTGCCCTGCATCCCAGCTGCTCCAGCTCCAGCCATGAATAAAAGGGGTCAAGTACAGCACAGGCCACTGCTTCAGAGAGCATATGCCCCAAGACTTGGTGACTTCCACATGGTGTTGGGTCTGTGGATGCAAAGAAGCCTCTGCCTACATTTCAAAGGATGTATAGAAATGCCTGGATGTCCAGGCAAAAGTCTGCTGCTGGGGTAGAGTCCTTGTAGAGAACTTCTACTGGAGTGGAAATGTGGGGTTAGAGTCCTGTAGTAGTCTGTTTTCATGATGCTGATAAAGACACACCTAAGACTGGGTAATTTATAACGAAAAAGAGGTTTAATGGATTAACAGTTCCATGTGGCTGGGGTGGCCTCACAGTCCTGCTGGAAGATGAAAGGCACATCTTACATGACAGCTGGCAAGAGAGAATGAGAGCCAAGTGAAGGGGGTTTCTCATTATAAAACCATCAGATCTCATGAGACTTATTCACTACCACAAGAACAGTATGGAGGAAACCCTCCCCCATGATTTATTTAACTCCCACCAGGCCTCTCCCACAACACGTGGGAATTATAGGAGCTACAATTCAAGATGAGATTTGGGTTGGGACACAGCCGAATCATATCAAGTCCCCACACAGAGTCCCTACTGTGGCAGTGCCTACTGGAGCTGTGAGAAGAGAGCCACCATCCTCCAGATCCCAGAATGGTAGATCCACTGACAGCTTGCACCATATGCCTGGAAAAGCCTCAGTTACTCAATGCCAGTCTGTGAAAGAAGCTGGAGTCAAAGGAGATTCTTTTGGAGCTTTAAGATTTAATGACCGCCCTGTTGGGTTTCAGACTTGCATGGCATCTGTCTCGCCTTTGTTTTGATAAATTTTTCCCACTTGGAATGTGAGCATTTACCTATGACTGCACCCTCATTGTATCTTGGAAGTAACTAACTTGTTTTTTATTTCACAGGCTGATAGGCAGAAGGGACTTGCCTTGTCTCAGATAAGACTTTGGGCTTGAACTTTTGAGTTAATGCTGGAATGAGTTAAGACTTTGGGGGACTGTTGATGAGGCATAATTGTGTTTTGAAATTTGAGAAGGATATGAGATTTGGGAAGGGCCAGGGGCAGAGTGATACGGTTTGGCTGTGTCCCCACCAATCTCATATCAAATTGTAATTCCCAATGTTGGGGCAGGGACCTGTTGGAAGGTGATTAGATCGTGGGGGTGGATTTCCCCCTTGTTGTTCTTCTAGTGAACTCACTCTCACGAGAACTGGTTGTCTAAAAGTGTATAGCACTTCCTCCTTTGCTGTCTTCCTCCTGCTCTGCCTATGTGAAGACATGTCTTGCTTCCCCTTTACCTTCCACCACAATTGTAAGCTTCCTGAGGCCTCTCCAGTCATGTGGAACTGTGAGTCAATTACACCTCTTCTCTTTATATATTACCCAGGCTCAGGTATGTCTTTATAACAGTGTGAGAAATAACTAATACATCTATATACCAGTTATCCTTTGTTCTGTGAGTTGGCTTTTCATGATGGATGTGGTCAAGGGAGAAGATGATACCAAAATTGAACAAATTTGACTTTCCCCATTCCCAGATTTCGTATTTTAAAGAAATTCACAGTAAGTGGCAGGAAGAGAAGCTGAAAAGACATGCAAATAGAGACCAAGATACCATGGGTAATTTGAAGTCTTTTATGTGAACCAAAGTTGTGAACAGTTTGAAGCTAAGATTTTAGCAGGGCCTATGCTAACTCAAAGTATAAAAGAAAAAGGATTTACAGAGCAGTCAGGAGTACTGTGGTAACCAACAGCAGAAACTCAAATCAAATCAGTGCAATCAAAGAGGAAAGAAATATATTAATTCATTTAACAAAACATTAAATTTATCATTAAAGTGGAAAAAATAGAACCGGTAATTTAAAGGACAGATTATTTCAAATGGCGGAATCATCAAGTCTGCGAAATGAGAAAGAAGGCTATTTTCTGTATACTGTGGCATAGTAGAGTCATCAAAGTTATGACCTTGAGGTACTTCTAACAAAGTCATTTTGGTTATTAATAGAATACTATTTAAGTGATTAAAAAAATAGAAGTAGATATCAAGGAGCAAATGTTTACCATGAGACCAGCATTTATTTTTGATAAACGAGAAGTACCCAAGCAGCAAGTCCCAAGTGCCTATTTGTCTAGTTGGGTCTTACAGTAGAAGGCTAGTACTGTGTTCCAAAAGTTGCAGTCAGTGTTGCCATTGAATGGAACTGTAATAGTCCATCCTGACAAAGGTATCAGTTATGATTTTCATTTGATTTTCATTGTTTTCCTGTCTCTTCTTATTTAGTAACAGTTACATAAATCTATTATTATAAAATGTTAATAAAACAGGGTGAGAAAAAGATTTAGTTTCTCCTACATACAAAAAAAAAAAAAACTCTGTGTGCATACCTATACATAATCTACCTCCACAGTATAGTTTTAAATATTTCTCATTTTTAACATTTATTAAATATTTCCTCTTTTTATTTTTGTGAATTTCATTAATCTGCATATTATATTTTGATTTTATAGATAAATATTATAATTTTAAGCATACACAACAAGAAAAATAAATACCAATACTTATTTTTACTTATGTATTTTTTGTTTTTAATTACTCTTCTAGATTTGTCATTTTTGATGGTCTATTCAGTAATTCTCCAATTGCTTCTTCCTTGCTATATCTAAACAGAATTACCTAATATTAGTCTTATGAATGCAGTTACTTTTACTAAGGATTTATGCATTTAATTAGTCACAGGATTCATTACAGAGGTGTTTGAAATCAACTGTGACAGAAAGATTGTCAATTAGTTTCACTGGTTACTATACATGAATAATTGAGTTTATTTTACAAACAACTGTTAAAATAACTTCTCCAATTAGGAAAAGTTACCAGAGAGTAACTTAAAATAAATATGTTATAAACAAAGAATAACACATTTACTGCCCAAGTGAATCACAGACAGCAGAATTTCAAATTATAGTAAAATGTTTTAATGTGGTATATAAACTGAAACACTTAAAGAAACAGCATGTACTATTAAAAATAAGCTTATTATATTCTCATCCTGTTTGGATAGTAAAATTGCTGTCAATAACTCCCTTTATTAGAGTGCTTCTGTATAACTAGCTTGTTCTTCTCTGTCTACATTATACTAGGTCTTCATTTCTTGACCAGTTTTTTAATAGCATAGTTTAGGGATATTTTTAGCAATACCCATGGAAATAGAGATAAAATGTTTATTTTATTTTGGAGATAATTGCCCTCTATAGATGCTGCAATTTGCAAATATGCAAATAAAGAAAGCAGCAGAATAAATTTTTTAAGGTATTGCCATCCTTTTTCTAGGAGGTACCTTCATTCTCTGGCTTAGCAATAACTAATTCACACACTCGTTACTACCAATGCTCCTCGCAAAACTGCCATGTTTATAAAGGATGAATCATAACTTATCGTTTACTTTTCCAAGTTCTTCTGCACAGTGGTTAAGAAATTCCAGAGTCTGATGGCTGGAGTTTGAATCCTGGCTCGATCACTTGCTGAAATTTAACAAGTTTTTCATCTCCTGTGCCATACTTTCCTCATTTCAGATAGTATTTGATGCGACTTATTGCTAAGGTTAAAGAAGTTAGCTCTAAAATAGTACCTGACACATAGTAATCATTTCAAAAGTGTGAGCTAAGGGTATCGTGTGCTCTATTTGTGTAGTAGTGTTTTCATGTTTTATTGTAGGTGGTTTGTTTTTTCTGGATTATTCTCTCTTCCTAAAATCATTCTCGACAGCATAGATGCTTGCTGATTCCACGTAAACAAAAAGACGTTTTTCTCACTTATTTTTGTTTGTGGGCATATGCATGTATATCTATTCTTAGTGCTATGGGACTTTTTCTCTGATATACAAACCAGATAACTTGTAAATAATTGAATAAAAGTATATTATATACACTTCTTTTCAGAGATATGGTAGTCTTTTCTAAACATGCCTGATAACTGAAAATAATCCATTTCCCTGTATGCAATTCTGAGTTAGCTGGGGCGTTCTGGTCAAATGAAGATTACTGAAAATTTGACTTAATCCTTAAATTCATAATTTGGGAGACCAAATCCCACTGTTTAACTTCTGTGGTTTCATCACAGCTATTTCCTCATGGCTTACTAGTTTCTTGTTTCACATTCTCATTGGATGGGTCATTCTGTCCCACACAGACCTGGATTTAGAGCTCATCCCCTTTAGGGGTTTCCAGAAAAATATCTACTCACATTAAATGTCCAGTGAGTTTTGGAATTTATTGGAGATTTAGATGTTATGAGAAAAGACTTCACGTTGTTTTCAGTCTTCCACTATCCTGTAGCTCCAAGTGTTATTTTTTCCCCTTCTCTCTAATGAAAAAAAAAAAAAAAAAAAAAAAAAAGAAAGAGATCCTTCCTGGGCTCATGCACAGCAGTTCCAGACCCTCTTAAGATCCGATATTCTACTCTGTTTGATTTGCAAGAAAGATTTTCAACTAAGATAGGACTTTACTTGTGAGATTCACATAACCTCTGCTATCAGAAAAAAACAAAACTTTTGTTTTTCTTTTTCTGACCTTTTCAATAAGCGAGCATTACTTTGGTTTCAGAATTATTATTTGTCTTTTACAACTACATAATATCTTTGGAAGTGGCCAGCCTCATTGGGCACACTGCATGACTTTGCAACTTAGCTAAGGAAGTACGGGGATTTTAAGGTTTGACAGACTTCAGTAGAGGGATTTGAAGATTTTTCAGAATCAATTAGAAAGTCTTGCCAACTATACGCTTGAAGAAAACTCATTCTTATGGCAGGAAATTTCATACAAAGAGCAAAGAGGCAGGTAGTATAGGTCAAGGGGTAGTGGATTCTACAAGGCAACAGAGAATCTTAAAAAGTAGCTGAGAAAAACGATTTGCACTTTTTGGTCAGGAAACACTTGGAGGGTAGTGCACTAACAATGTTAAATTTCAAAATGTTATGTTAAACTTTCTCATATGTGCTCTGTCCTAAACTAGGTGTCGTCCTAGAACGGAGAGAGTTTTGAGAGCTCTAAGCCATAAAAGTTCATAGTCAAGATCACCGTTCTAAAATTAAGTAGACAGGAAGAAGAATCCTAGCTTTACCAGTCACTAACTGCAGGGTCTTGAGTGAGGTCATTTATCTGACTAAAAGTTCAATTTTCTCATCGGAAAAACTGAAAAAATAATATAGACGTGACTGAGGTTTTGTGATGATTAAAAGATGTAGTATATGTAAATCACCCAGAGAACATTTGGGAAGTAGAAAGCAGCTTCTGTGTGGTGTTTTTAGTAGTACATGGGGGCTGAGAGGAAGGTCAACAGGTAATGTTGCTTCACCTCTAAGGACAATAAAGATTCATATATTAAAAGGAAATACTTTTAATGCTTTTTTAGCTGGGAATGGTGGCACGTGCCTGTAGTCCTAGCTATTTGAAAGGCTGAATTGGGAGGCCGAGGCAGGCGGATCACGAGGTCAGGAAATAGAGACCATCCTGGCTAACACAGTGAAACCCCCTCTCTCCTAAAAGTATAGGCATGCACCTGGAGTCCCAGCTACTCAGGAGGCTGAGGCAGGAGAATGGCGTGAACCCGGGAGGCGGAGATCGCAGTGAGCCGAGATCGCGCCACTGCACTCCAGCCTGGGCGATAGAGACTCCGTCTCAAAAACAAACAAAAAAAAAAAAAAGAGAGAGAGAAAACAAAAGAAAAGAAAGAAAGAAAGGCTGAGGCGGGAGGATAGCTTGAGCCCAGGAGTTCAAGGCTGTAGTGAGCTATGGCCATGCCACTGTTCTCCAGCCTGGGAGGCTGAGCAAATTCCTATCCCAGAAAGAAAAAAAAAGTAAATGCTTAATAATTGAAATACAAAACTGAGTATATGACTTGGTGTCTGATTATGCATTTGATTCTTAGGCTTTAAATTATATCTAGTTTCAAACAAAATTAAGTTGGTCATATGGAACTATGATAGATACCTAAATGTTCATTGTTCAGTGAGCTGACATTTCTTCTGACAAATGACAAAATAATACAAAAGCATTAGCAGAATATTGCTTCAATATACAACTTAAATGCAAATTTTCTATACTCATTATCAGAAATTTGGGAATGCTAGTGTATTCCGTTTATGAAGGTTTGTATACAATTTTATATTCCTTAACAACCATCTATTCAATTTTATACATTCTTAATATATTGTAATTTTTATACATTCTAAATATATTTTTCACAATTTTACCCATTCTAAATATATTAAAAGAATGAGTAGATCCCTAAGTATTGGTCTAAATAAATAATACTAAATACTTGAAACATTAGTAAGAATTATCGATAAAAATGTTTAAACGTCCAAAATTTTAAGAACTGGAGTAACTTTCTGAAGTGCTAGTTTAATCCTTATTGCCCATGTGGATGATCAGACTGAATACTACAATCTATTTTATTAAATAATTTGAATACAAAATTGTAATTATATTTCTATCTTTTTGGAACAAATTTTACTTCAGCTATTAAAAAATTATTAGAGATGTGCATATGAGATTGTTAATTATACCACTGGAAAAATATCCTTTTATGGACATCATCTCTCTAAGTGTCCTCAAATGACAACTTCTTACAGTCACAAACATATTGGATTAAGGTGGATTGAAACAGACTAAGAATATGTAGAGAATTTATTATAAAAAATGGAAGCAATGAAAATGACGAGATAAGGAAAATGACAGTTGAGAGGGCACACATTCAATGTATATCAATGTAACAAAAAGATGCCCTAGTATTGCCATACTTCAACCTTGTCATCATCTATCATTTGCTTTTTGAAACCAACTTTAATTCTTACAAAAGACGCAACCAATACAGCTTTCATGGCATAGAAATTTTAAGAGACATTATGAATGTTATTCATGTAATGACTGTTTCATGTATTTTTAATAGTTCTTTATTTATGTGATGGTGAGAATTCTCCCTAATAAACAAGAAATTATAAGCTCAAACTAAAACAAGGAGAGCAAAGCTTGAAGTGTAAAATTCTTGACATCATTAGAGAAAATTAAAATCTGAAACAAAAATTTATGGACACTATCCTGCTCTCAAAGATTCTATGTATTTCCTTTATTTTTAAAAAAAATGCATTTTAATCCACAAATACTGATATCAATGGAGAACCACAGCATCTACATGCATATGGTTTTAAAAATGGAAAATGATGTGTCATAACTCTGATATTTAGAGAGGTAACCCATTTAATAATGCAACTTGTTATATCTCATAAAAGCTTAAGAAAGGTGACTCCAAAACTCTGATTTGGAGGATAACACTGATATCTGATAAAATAAACAAAAATATTACTTTGCCTCCCACAACAAGAGTATTTGACTTTTACAAACTGAGCTTGATTATAGTCTAAGCAAAGAAATAATATAATTACATTTTTGAAATGAAAAGTAAAAGGATAGAGGGAATCAAGGAAGAAATGTTTACACTGGGTATTCGGAATTGTCTAAAGCAGGTGGTGTCTTAGCTCATGGGACTTATTTTTCAAGTATCCAGGGCAAGACTATGCTTGCTGTAAACATGAACATAGAAAGTTTTTTTTACTGTCAATGGGATTAGATGTATGCATATTGTCAGGTAACTTTCTACATCTTATAATTACTTTATATTAATTATATATTGCCTATGTACAAATTACCACAAATCTATGGGTTTAAAACAACAAAAGTCTACTAGCAGATGTCTAACCTCAAGAAATTGGCAGGGCTTCAATCTTTCTAAAGGTTTTGGGGGAAAATCCACTTCCATACACCTTTCCAACTTGTAAAGGCTGCCTGCAGTCTTTGCCTCATGGTTCCCCAGTGTTGAAAGTGTATCACTGCTCACTCCAACCTCTGGTTCTTTGGTAACATCTCTTTCTTCTTTGATTCCATTATCTTCCCCTTATAAGGGCTCTTGTGATTATATTGGGCCCAATTTTAATAATTGAGAATGATCTCCTCATCTCAAGGTCCTTAACTTAATCATATCTGCTAAATCTCTTTTTAAGGTAACATATCCATAGGTTGTGATGATTAGTATCTAATCATCTTTGGGGGAGCCTTTATTATCACACTTTTCCAACCAAAATCATTTAATTTGGCCCTGAAAGCTTGTCTATAGGAAATGGGCATGCTGATACATATACAACTCTTTTTTTTTTTTTTTTTTTTTTTTTTTTTTTTTTGATACAGAGTTTCGCTCTTGTTGCCCAGGCTGGAGTGCAACGGTGTGATCTTGGCTCACCGCAACCTCCGCCTCCCAGGTTCAAGCGATTCTCCTGCCACAGCCTCCATACTACTTTTATTTTTTTTATTAATTCAATTAACATTTTAATAATACCTATTAGGCTAGGTACTGGTGAAACCAAGTTTCATATGAAATGATAACCTAAGGGGCAACAAGGAAGACCAAATAGATACATCAATAATAGAAATAAATGAGTAAGCCTATGAAAATAATTAAGGTTTTTTTTGTTTTGTTTGTTTGTTTGTTTGATTGTAATATAGAGAGCAGACACCAAAAAGGCAAAAATCACATTTTGACTTAAGTTTTCAATGGTATGTGCAAATTATCCACAAGTAGGGAAGAGATTGCATTCAGTCCCTGAGTCTATGTGCTAAAATAGTAAAGAATAGGAGATTCTGTCACTTTTAGCACATGCAAACAGTTACATAGACACCTACACCTGTATAAAGGGTATCACTGGAGGATAGCACTACTCCATGCTAGAAAAATAATCCATACTTAGATTATTAATAATCTCGTAGACTAAGCCAGGGAGTTTAAATTTTGTCATAAATACCATTGTGATCAAATGGGCACTTCAAAACAAATAAACGATATAATTATAGTTTTATTGGAAAGCAGTCAGAAAGGGGGGTTGACAGGAGAGTGTAATGGAAGGAAACACGTGGAAGATGTGAGAAATAAATAAATTTAGCAAGCAGTGAGTTTGGAAGAGACCCCTAAGTCTCATTTGGGGGCCACAGTCCTGTCTAAACTTTAATTTTAGTCTGATGAGAATCTGAGCAGAGAAACTAGTCACACCATTTTAGACTTCTGACCTACAGAAACCATAAGAAAATACTTAAGTGTTGTTTAAAGCACTATATTTGTAGCAATTTGTTATGACAGCAATCGAAATCTAATATAGTAATTATATGGGTGCTCATTACTCCAGTTTCCACAGAATATAATTTCCAATTTGATAAAGAAGAGAAAATGCCACATGTTGTTTATTCAACATCATTGAAATATTACATGACAGGTGACTTCCCATGAAGAGGACACATTTGTTTTTTCAATCTGCATTCACTTGTGACTGTAATTTTTCTCTTATTCTTTATATATTCTCTTCAGTAAAGAGAGCCGCAGGGAACAGTATACGGTCCAGGCCTGGCTAATCACCAATCCAGCAGTGATAACTTTTTTTAGGCACAGTGATTGTGCCAATCAGAATTATCTCTAATATTTGTCCCTCGATGGTAATGATAGTTTTGTGAACTTGCTTTTACCTGACTTTATTAATTTCTTCTTCAGCATAAGTTAGCCTGAGAAGGATTCCTATATTTTGTAACTCAGAGAGTTCTAATTCACCCTTCAATTGAAGCTAATAAAAGTCTATGCTTATGGTGTGATAAAATTATAAAGTATATTAGTGATCACTTATATTTCTAGATTCATTTTCATCATAAGTTAAATGAGTATTATCACAGTCTATTTGTGTGAGCCAACGTATTTAAAAGTGTTAGATGTGGGTTCATTACTATAAACAGATTCAACTAATGAACATTATGCTATGTCTCTTAATTAAAAAGTTTTCATTGTAAGGCCTAACGACAAATGAAGTTAAGTGAATGTTACTTTCAAGAGCATATTTTATTAGTGAGTTTAAAGAGAAATGCTAACATATATAAATATAGATATATAGAGATATAGAGATATAGATATATTATACATACATGTATGAGTAGCTGAATGGCATTTAAAGCACAGAACCCAACAAGTTAACATAACATTGAAAAACACATCCTGATAGAAGATGAGAAGCGTCAAGAGTAGCAAGTCAGGAGCTCCACTCTAAAGGTTAAGTGAACATTCAAAAAATATAGAGCACCACTCCTTAACAGATTCAGACTCAACTAGTTTTCACTGATAGTTTGAGGCAGTAAGTCACGCCACACAACCAAAAGGTGTGGTACCTGTTATCAACCAAATTTTACAGATGAGATATTATAAAAATATTGAAGATTTAAAATACAACCAAAATTATCCAGGTGGTAGTAAAGAGCCCTAGAATATAAACCTAACACCTTCACCCCAAGTTTGTATTAATTTCACTGCAATATGTCACTTCCATATTACACTCTGTTTAACTGACTGGAATACGCTGAAGAAATTTCCAAAGTGTATATATACTTCTAATATAATATAATAAATAAAAATCTTAATTATTGTATGTATTAATGCCTAATACATTTTAATAATTACAAGTATACTTTAATAAGTATAATTCCATTATACTCAGGAATTCAAAAGTATTTTTGATAGAATTTCTTCATTTTGAATTCAAAGAGTTTATATTCACATATCTTGTTTCTTACATCATATATTTGTGTGTATATCAATGTATGTATATTCATATACTTACACATATTTTTATAAAGTTTTTTTCCTGTGGAGTTATCTGTTCTTTATTTTCAAATTATCTTTGTTTCTTCAAAACACTGAAGTAATAAGGAAGAATTTTTAGCTCAAGACAATGTTCAAATGCTTAAGCTAAATTGACACAATAAAGCTAAGAGATTATTGCCTATCAGGTCAATAATTTGTGAACTAAGAAGGATTAATAGGATTTACAACTCTTTTCAGCTACATGTGGCACAAGTAATACTAATTATATTTTCATTAACTTTTGAAGCTAGATCATGTTCTCATAATTTAGTCCTGTTATGGACTAATCCATGGTTTTATTGTTAAATAAATTTTAATGATTTAAAATCATAACATGTTATGATTTTAAAAACTCATAATAATACACCAAATTTGATACTTATTTTGAATTTATCATACTCCTTTTGAATCCAATATAAATGTCATTTCTAGTTTATTATTTTCTTCAGAATGTGCAGATTTGAGCACTCCAAACCCACTGAGGTAATCCTTCACTGCGCAATATTCATACTTGAAATGTATGTTATTTGCTGAAAACTTTGCTCTAAAGAAAAGTGAGGTAAATACATGAGAAAGTTGTTACCTAGATAGTATCCTCTCCTTTCTCTTGTCTCCTATGTTTTCAGCATATACTCCATAGTGCTTATGACAGAGACTACTAGTTTCCCCGTTCGTCACTGGTAATAGTTATAGCTAGGTATAAGGACAATAAGAAAGAGATTATATATTCTAAGCTCTCTTGCAGCTAGATTTGGTCATATAAATGTGTTCTGTGCAATGGAACAGAAGTGATTATTTCAAATTTTGGATTGGGCCAATTTTGGATTTGGAAAGGATTAGATGTTCTTTTTGCTTTTTTTCCCCTTCCTTATGGCTAGAAGGTAGATGTGATGGTGGCAGCTGGCATACCTCCTAGACTTTAGAAACTGATGTAGAGGTTGGCAAAATAAAGAGCTAGAAAACTTTCATCCGTACCACTAAAAAACTTGTGATATGAACTATGGACTGACTTTGTTTGACACTTTCACAAAAAATTCTGTCTTACTTAACCCACTAACAGTTTCTCCTTTTTTGTTTTTTTTTTTCCCAGCAGTGAAAGTGGCATTCCAATACAGGTCTTTATTTGAATCACTCGTTTCACATACAGCTTTAGCTTCCTTGTTTTTCTCCCCTCATCACATATCTGCCAGGAACACTATGATCTTGATGGAAGCCAAAAGACCCTCTTCTCTGATAAAATCAGAAAATTGGGAATTTTGGAAGTTTTGTACATTCGTGATCATCATCCTAAAATGGACAATGTTTTCTTAAAATTTTAATAAAATTCTCTTGTAAGTTTCTTCTCTCATTCGCTGCAATATTTTATTCTCTACTTTTTAACTTCTCAAGTTCATTCTCCCTCCCTTCCTCAGAATATCTCTCGTAACTTCATACTCTGCTAAGGAAATACAAAAACAAAAGCAAAACAGAAAACATAGGCATAGAATTCAAATTTCTCATTTTCTGTCAGAGATATAAGCCATTTTGGTAACCTTTTCCATCATATTTTTCCCTCTACTCACAGAGAGTGAACTCTTTTCTAATGTCCAAATCACCGCAAATCCCATCCACTTTTAAATTGCTCATTTCCGTTCTCTTCTGTATTTTAAAAACTGGTTTTCTCTACTGGAAAATTTTAACTAATATCTAAACTGGCTACAATATCTTTCATTTTGAAAAAGAGCACACACTTGTCCTCCAACTTCATTTCATTTTCTTTCTTCTCTGCATATTTTTTTGTTTTTACCATAGCTTTTTAAAAAAGTATTCCACACACATAGTCTCTATTTCATCTATCACTCAATTCACCAATCAACCCAATCTATACTGATTTTAGCAATTAATTATTAGTCATCAAGTTATATTCACACTAAACATGGAACATAATTTATATATATATCACAACTTGCGATAATATAGTTATAGTTCATAGTAATGATTAACATATTAAAGATTAATTTATTCTTCAAATAATGTCAATTCTCTTTAGTTTTCTGTAAGCATGCATTACATTTTTTACAAAATCTACTTTTCCAACATTTTTCTTATTTCTCTCTTACATTTCTTTTCCTTCTTAGTCCCCTTTGCTAGCTACTTCTTTTACCACCTTTTAAAGTTTCCTCTGGTTTAGTCCTGAACTCTCTTTATTTCTCACTCTCTATTGACTCACTAGAAAATCTTGGCTGTCCTCATGGGTGTAGATGTCATTTTATACCAGTGGTGCTGAAGTTGTGTTGCTAGGTCATATCTTACTTCTAAGTTTCAAGCAATATATTCAAATGCTTATTTAACATTTCTACATTTATATTACATTCACACATTAGCTTGCCCAAACTTAAAATCTTTATATAATCTGCCTTTCTCATCTGCTTTACTTTCTACATTCTGTGCTTTCAATTTCCAAATAGATGTAAAGCTTTTCATGTCTCTTCCTCTGCTCTAATATAACCCTACTCTAACTTGCATAGGCTTTTTTCCCTTCTATTCCTGGTCTCTTCACTTTCGTTTTTGCCCCTGCACAGTTTATACTCTATCAAGCATTTATATTATTTTTGTCATTTTTTGTTTTTGTTTTGTTTTGTTTTGTTTTAATACAAGGAAAGGGATATTTTCCTTAGGAGCCTCCTTTCAGTGACTTGAAAGCCAAATTCTTCCTTACCTTGGTGTTTGCACATAAGCAGTCTTCTCTTTCAAATGTGCTTCTTCTAAACTTTTCACCCAATTAACCATTTTCAGATCTTAGCTTGAACACCATCTTCTCAGGACATGAATACTTTTGTCTCCAAACTATGTTATGTCCCCATGTTCTGTGATCTCCAAAACCTGTAAGCCTCTTTGTACTAGTAATACGACATTCATTTATCGATCTATCTCCCTGTTTATTGCTATTTGTAAAATATCTGTACTTTCCACTAGAATATAAGCTTCTTGATGGCAGCAATCTTGCCTATCTTTGTTAATGTATCCCTTTCACCTGGGAAAGTATCTGACACAAGGCAGAGTTTCAATAAATAATATTTTTAATTCTTAAGTGAATTGATGTTAACTATATTATATACTGATAATGTGGCTTTGAATGTGTTTTGTCTACAGGGAGAAACATATGATAGCTAAACTAATTCCAACAATTTGTGTTTCCATTTATTCTTTTACTTATTATTAATTATTATGTTTATATTCTGTTTTATTTTTTCAGATTGAAGCATTATCCAGTGTGGGGTCAACTTTGGGTCATGAACAAAATAATTTTCTCAACTTCAAGGCACAAACAATGGGCAGTGGTGAATCTCCCAAGTTAGGTACAACCATATACGGACTATTCTCAGTGTCCTGCTGACCTTCTCAGGGAACACTCATTCTTCTCATTGAGCATTTATTCTAAATTACTTATGGTATATTTAGATTAGGTAGAATTTTCTTTGCTAGCTTGAGCACATACATATTACCTAAAAGACCATTTGTAAGGTAATACATATTCACAATTCAACATAGAAAATTTTAAAATTGTTATAGTGCAACCTTTTGTAACTCCTGAAATCTGAGTATAAAGAGAATTTCTTACAGCTTCTTAGGCAGAAAGAAAAACTTACTAACAAAGGAAATCGCATTAAACTTTCATGTTCTCTTCTCAAACATTAGAAGCTAAATAAGAATAGAGTAGCATCTATCAACCAATGAGAGAAAGGGTCAGAAATGTAAAACCCTGTAACAGTCAAAGTAAAATTCACCTGCCATTGTAAAATAAACTCACTGGAGTGCATGCAAGAACTCAGACCATATTTCATTCATCCCTCTTGTCTATGGATAATGCTTGGAGAAAGATCCTGACCTGATACAAATAAATTCTTCCTAAAACTACAAGTGGAGAAAAATATTATAAATAGTAAAACTTTACCTCATATATATGGTGTGTGTTTGTGTGTCTAAATATATGTATATATATGTGTGTGTGTGTATATATATATATCCTGCACATTTATGGGATGTACAAAAAATTATACTCCTATTAAAATATTCTAAACAGAGTGGATATTTCCAGAGGTCTTGACAACGATTACACAAGTGAACCCCTTTTGGTGCTTTAATAAATGATAGCTGTCCTACTTTTAGTTTTTTGAGGAGCTTCCATACCACTTTTCATAATGGCCAACCAATTTACATTCCCACCGATGATGTGCAGCCACCGTTT
Organism: Homo sapiens; assembly: GCF_000001405.40. Lineage (NCBI taxonomy): Eukaryota > Metazoa > Chordata > Mammalia > Primates > Hominidae > Homo > Homo sapiens. The sequence goes on from NC_000013.11 coordinate 70,828,576, forward strand.
CTTTTTTTCCACATCCTTGCCAACATGTGTTATCTTTAAGGTTTTCATACTAGTTTTTCTAAGAAGTGTGAGGTGATATCTCAATGTAGTTTTCATTTGCATTTCCCTGAAAATCAGCGATTAGCACCATTTCATATATAGTGAAACTCATAACACAAGTTATCCAGAGTTGGGAAGGAAGAAATGGGGAAATGTTAATCAAAGGGTACAAAGTTTCACTTATACAAAATGAATACATGGGGATCTAAGGTATAGCAATGTGATTATAGTTAACAATACTGTATTATAAATTTATATTTGCTAACACTTAATCTAAGTGTTCCTATCACAAAAAAGAAAAAAAAAATGGGGCTGGGTGCGGTGGCTCACGCCTGTAATCCCAGCACTTCGAGAGGCTGAGGCGGGTGGATCACCTGAGGTCAGGAGTTCAAGACCAGCCTGGATAGCATGGCGAAACCTCATCTCTACTAAAAATACAAAAGTTAGCTGGGCGTGGTGGTGGGCGCCTGTAATCCCAGTTACTCAGAAGGCTGAGGCAAGAGAATTGCTTGAACCCGGGAGACGGAGGTTGCAGTGAGTGGAGATAGTGCCATTGCACTCCACCCTGGGCAACAAGAGTGAAACTCTTCTTGTCTCAAAATAGAATAAAATAAAATAAAATAAAATAACATAACATAAAAAAGAAAGAAAGAAAAAAGAAAAGAAAAAAAATTGTAGCCTGGCACAGTGGCTTACACTTGTAATTTCAACATTTTGGGAGGCTAAGGCAGGAGGATGATTTGAGTCCAGTATTTCAAGACTAGCCTTGGCAATATAGTGAGACCTCATCTGTATAAAAAATACAAAAATTAGCTGGGAGTGGTGGTGCATGCTTGTGGTCCCAGATGCTTAGGAGGCTGAGGCAGCAGGATTGATTGAGTCCAGGAAGCTGAGGCTGCAGTGAGCCGTGTTCTGGCCACTACGCTCCAGCCTGGGCAACAGATTGAGATGCCATCTCCAAAATAATAATGATAATAATAATAATAATAATAATAATAAGGTAAAATAAAATAAATGGAACTATGTGAGGTGATAAATATGTTAACTACCTTGTGGTGATTATTTCAAAATGCATATGTGTACCAAAACAACTTTGGACAACTTAAATGTGTACATTTTTTTTTTAATTTGTCAAATATACTTCAATAAAGCTGAAAAAAAAATAACGTTGTCCTAGATACATTAAAATAGTATATCCTGTGGTGGGGCCAGGCAAGTGTAATTTTAACTCCTCCACTATAGCATCGATCTGCTTTTTAAAAATAGACTTTCTCACCTCTTTAAATGAACATAAAACCACACTTACAAACCACAGCTCTTGGTGGTTTTCTTTATTCTTACTGATGTTAAGTGGTTGGATTTTCTTTTTTGAAGTTGCTCTCTGATGATGAGCTGTGTCTTGACTGTTCTACAACTGTATGCTATGCGTCTGGCGGTCCTTGCCTCTCCTTCTTATACCACAGGTATAACTTCACAGTCCACTTGCTCAACTGAAGCTGAGCATGTCTCTGGCTGAGATCAAGTATTTTTGACATTGGCCAGGGCTATTATTCTCTGTATGATTCCTGTCTTAATTTAAGTGAATGTCATAAAAGTTATCGCTTTAGATTTCAAATGTCCGATTTTAAGATTCAAGTTTTAAGACTAAAGTGACTTTTGAGTATACTCTCAATTACATCGGCTAACATGGAAATAGAGTGGCAAGGATAATCCAACTGTCTTGGCAAACTAGAAAGCACTTATACAGCAGCTTTAACTCCACTCACGCTTTTCCACCTGGAGAACTTAAGCCATTAATATTTATTCTGTGCTCTTTCTGTGCCAAGTTAGGGTTACCAGATGCCCAGTTAAATTTGCATTTGAAAAAAAATACCTATTTTTAGTATTAGTGTGTCCCAAATATTTCATGGGACATAACTAAAATGTTATTTGCTGTTTTTCTGAAATGCAATTTTAACTGAGTGTTCTGTATATTTATATGCTAAATCTGGCAATCCTATGTCAAGCTCTACTCAAAGTAATGGAAGGAAGCAGAGATAAAACAGTACCAAGTACTATTCTAAAAGATTTATGATCATCAAAATCAATCTGCATGTCTATTGTGATTGTAAAGATGATGGGATTTTCAGAAGTGTCTCTTTTATTAATGGGAGTCACGCAGCTATTTTTAAAATTATTATTATTACTATTATGTATTTTTATTTTTTTGAGATGCAGTCTCACCCTGTCACCCAAGCTGGAGTGCAATGGCACAATCTTGGCTCACTGTAACCTCCGCCTCCCAGGTTCAAGTAATTCTCCTGCCTCAGCCTCCCGAGTAGCTGGGATTACTGGCACGCACCACCACACCTGGCTAATTTTTGTATCTTTAGTAGAGACAGGGTTTCAGCAAGTTGGCCAGGCTGGTCTCAAACTCTGACCTTGTGATGCACCCACCTTGGCATCCCAAAGTGCTGGGATTACAGGCATGAGCCACTGTGCCTGGCCTAAAATTATTTTAATGTAAGTATTTGAAAGTTTAAAATACAGAAAGAAATTAAATGGTAAAGAAAGAATTTTTATCATTCTGCTCTTGATAGTCAAAATTAAACCAAAATGTACCTAAGACTTTAAAGATGTTCTTGCATATATTAGAATAAGTCCATGTTGGGGTCTGTATGAGGCCTGCTCCAGATGATTGGCTGTGCATTTGAAGGTTTAAAACTAAGACTAAAATTCTCTATATTGGGAAAGGGTTTTATGAAACTATTTCTGAGTTCATATGGGTCAAGACATCTAACAAATATTTTGCAAAATTTTTCCATTTTTAATTATCCAACTTCTTCTTTTCAAGGGAAATGATGGTATTAAAGACAGACTACTCTAGTCTAATATCTTGAAGTAGGAGGCATTAGGTATCATGCTTCCATGTCCCCTATTATGTTATTTGCATGTCAGTATGTAATACTTAAAGGATTTATTTAAAAAATAATACCCATTGGTTTATAAAAAATTGATTTACAGAGGAGAAGGAGAGTCTTAGGAACTACCAGAGTACATGACAATTAGGTTCAAGTTTTAAAACACATAAGCAAATATCAATTCAGCAGAATTTGTTGTATACATCCCAGTAAAGTAGTCAAAAAACAGTATAGGTTCAAAAATACCTTTATTTGTCCCAGCATAAACACACAAGAGAAAGGAAGTTCAATTTTTTTTTCCTTGATGCTAAAACTCTAAAGCTTCAGGAAATTTCTTTATTACTTAGTACTGTATGTTCTAATCAAGCATAAAGAAGGAAAGTGACTACTATCAAAGGACCCATAAAAAGAGTTTATGATGTTTCAGAATCAGACAACATAAAAAAGGACATATTCAAATTAGAAACACTATTATAAAGTGTGATTCTATAAGGAATCTCCATAACAGTCTTAATAATGTGATTAAAGAGACAAAGTAATAGCAATATACACAAGTACTAATTGGAACATTGAAACCATTACGCCTCATGTGGGAGACAAGTCATAAAATTCAAAGAATATTTGTAAGAAACACCATCAGACTGGCTTTTAAGTTTTTTAGTGCCTGAGGCTAATTTTGTGAACTTGTGGTAGCAGTTGAAAATGTTTAAGATAATTCAATTGCCCTAATAACGCATACTTGTTACAGAATCTGATTATGATATTAAAAAATTAGAAAAAAATTACTTTTTCTCCACTCGGCTCAATGCTACAGTTTAGGTGAAGTCTAAAACT